>NC_000022.11:31588351-31739867 GCF_000001405.40 Homo sapiens
GTCAGAAGCTCTGTGGCTCTTTGTATAGCCTCAGAACTCACACAGTGCCACTTTTACCATGTGCTATTGGTCAGAGCAGTCACTATCCCAGCCAGATTCAAGGGGAGGGAACATAGATCACTTCTCAGTGAAGGAGGAGCAAATAATTTGCAGCCATGTTTTTAAAACCTCTACACATTTGGGCTGGGCACGGTGGCTCATGCCTGTAATCCCAGCACTTTGGGAGGCCAAGGCAGGCAGATCGTGAGGTCAAGAGATCAAGACCATTCTGGTCAACATGGTGAAACCCTGTCTCTACTAAAAATACAAAAATTAGCTGGGCGTGGTGGCGCACGCCTGTAGTCCCAGCTACTCGGGAGGCTGAGGCAGGAGAATCACTTGAACCCGGGAGGCGGAGGTTGCAGTGAGCTGAGATTGTGCCACTGCACTCCAGCCTGGCAACAGAGTGAGACTCTGTCTCAAAAAAAAAAAAACAAAAAACAACAAAAAAAACAAAAACATAAAACCTCTATACATGCATATATGCTTTTTCCCCCCAAAGTTTTGGATCATGGAGACATATATGGTATATTCTTATGTCCATTGTCTGTCTTCCTACTGATGTATCAGTAAAATAGTAGACTTTTATAATTACATTAATGTGTATGACAAACACTATAAACAAAATCAAAAGATATATTATGGGGTGGGGAAATATTTAAGATTTATAACACATGACAAAGGACTAATAAATTGTTTAGGTTCAAAAACCCCATACATATCACTGAGTCAAATGCTAACAGACAGTGAAACAGGTAATGGGTATGAACACCTAAGCCAGGGGGAAGAGAGAGTGAGTGAGAGTGTGTGTATGTGTGTGCGTGTGTGTGTGTGTGTGTGTGTGTAGAAATGTTTAACTAATGTTTAAGTGAAAATTTTTTTACCTATCCTATTTCATTTTTCACCTAGCATATTGGCAAAGATAATAAATAATGATTCATCTTTTTCTCATTTTTATTATATAGGAAGCAATCCTCCCACAAGGGTGTGACCCTGAGAGGTCATGTTTAAAAAAAAAAAAGTTAAGTACAAAGGTTATTCATTCTTTTACTTTAGCTGCTACAGGCCAGAGCGGATGGTCATTTCCAGCAGAGAGCCCTGCCTGCTGCCTTCCACACATGGAACAGACTCTGGCGATGGCGCCACCAGGAAAATGTCCTCAGTGCAAGAGCAACACGTTTCCACAGGTATGTTGCGCAGCTCCTGTCTGCACTGGGGCAGGTGTTTCAAATCTAACTCTGACAACCACACAGCCCATTTGCTGTGCTTTTCAGCTTCCCAGACCCCAGGCCCTAGTACTTCCTGGATTTTCAGTAATGTGGGCTCATTGATTTCATCTAGCAGGAAAAGACAAGACAGTGTTTCCCCTGGGAAATCTTTTGTCCATCTTTATTTATTTATTTTTTTTGTGTGTGTGTATATATGTATTTATTAAAAAAAATGTGTAGTGTTTAATCTGAACAGCCAGTGGCTTAGTCAAGTTAACATATACATGAAGAGACTTATTATGAGGAATTGACTTACACTATTATGGAGGCTGAGAAGTTCCATGACCTGCCATCTGCAAGCTGGAGACTCAGGAGAGTGGGTAGTGCAATTCCAGTCTGTGTCCAAAGGCCTGGGAACCAAGGGGCCTCGAGGTGTAAATCCCAGTTGAAGGGCAGGAGAAGATGAGATGAGATCTGCCCACGCAGGCAGGCAGGAAGCAAAAGGGGCAGATTCTTTCTCCTTTTGTTCTACTCAGGCCCTCAAGGGGTTGGCTGAGGCCCCCGTACATTAGGAAGAGAAGTCTGCTCTACTGAGCCCACAGATTCAAATGCTTGTCTCATCTGCAAACACCCAGAAACACTGTTTAATCTGGGCACCCAGTGGCCCAGTCAAGTTGACACATAGAATCCACCACCATGGAGTAGAGAGAAGTCACAGAATCAGACTGCTTGGGTTCAAATCCTGGCTCTGTTCTGTGACCTTGGCCAAGGTACTCAAATGACCAATTCTCTAGTTTTCTCATCTCTGCAGTGGGGGAGTAATAGTGCTTACCTCAAAGGGTTATTCAGATTTTGGTAATTGGCTGTTGAGCTATTCAGATTTTCTAATTCTTATGTCAATTAATCATTTCAAGTTTTTTTTTGAGACAGAGTTTCACTCCTGTTGCCCAGGCTGAAGTGCGGTGGTGTGATCTCAGCTGACTGCAACCGCCGCCTCCCGGGTTCAAGCGATTCTCCTGCCTCAGCCTCCTGAGTAGCTGGAATTACAGGTGCCTGCCACCATGCCCAGCTAATTTTTTGTGTTTTTAGTAGAGACGGGGCTTTCACCATGTCAGCAAGGTCTCGAACTCCTGACCTCAGGTGATCCACCTGCCTGGGCCTCCCAAAGTGCTGGGATTACAGGCGTGAGCCACTGCGCCCGGCCAGCGTTTCAAGTTTTTAAGAGAATGTGTCCATTTCCCCTTCTCTTTTTATTTTATTTTTATTTTTATATATATTTTTAAATTTGAATTGCTTCTCTCTTTTTCTTGATTAGTTTTACTACTGGCTTTTCTATATTCCAACTTTTTTCTTTTTATTTATTTATTTATTTATTTATTTATTTTTTTATTGATAATTCTTGGGTGTTTCTCACAGAGGGGGATTTGGCAGGGTCATGGGACAATAGTGGAGGGAAGGTCAGCAGACAAACAAGTGAACAAAGGTCTCTGGTTTTCTTAGGCAGAGGACCCTGCGGCCTTCCGCAGTGTTTGTGTCCCTGGTTACTTGAGATTAGGGAGTGGTGATGACTCTTAATGAGCATGCTGCCTTCAAGCATCTGTTTAACAAAGCACATCTTGCACCGCCCTTGATCCATTTAACTCTGAGTGGACACAGCACATGTTTCAGAGAGCACAGGGTTGGGGGTAAGGTCACAGATCAACAGGATCCCAAGGCAGAGGAATTTTTCTTAGTGCAGAACAAAATGAAAAGTCTCCCATGTCTACTCCCTTCCACACAGACACGGCAACCATCCGACCTCTCAATCTTTTCCCCACCTTTCCCGCCCTTCCATTCCACAAAGCCGCCATTGTCATCCTGGCCCGTTCTCAATGAGCTATTGGGCACACCTCCCAGACGGGGTGGTGGCCGGGCAGAGGGGCTCCTCACTTCCCAGTAGGGGTGGCCGGGCAGAGGCGCCCCTCACCTCCCGGACGGGGCGGCTGGCCGGGCAGGGGGGCTGACCCCCCCCACCTCCCTCCCGGA
Organism: Homo sapiens; assembly: GCF_000001405.40. Classification (NCBI taxonomy): domain Eukaryota; kingdom Metazoa; phylum Chordata; class Mammalia; order Primates; family Hominidae; genus Homo; species Homo sapiens. The sequence continues at coordinate 31,591,624 of NC_000022.11, forward strand.
CGGGGCGGCTGGCCGGGCGGGGGGCTGAACCCCCCACCTCCCTCCCGGACGGGGCGGCTGGCTGGGCAGAGGGGCTCCTCACTTCCCAGTAGGGGTGGCCGGGCAGAGGCGCCCCTCACCTCCCGGACGGGGCGGCTGGCTGGGCGGGGGGGCTGACCCCCCCCACCTCCCTCCCGGACGGGGCGGCTGGCCGGGCAGAGGGGCTCCTCACTTCCCAGTAGGGGCGGCCGGGCAGAGGCGCCCCTCACCTCCCAGACGGGGTGGCTGGCCGGGCAGGGGGGCTGACCCCCCCCACCTCCCTCCCAGACGGGGCGGCTGGCCGGGCAGGGGGCTGACCCCCCCACCTCCCTCCCGGACGGGGCGGCTGGCCGGGCGGGGGGCCGACCCCCTCACCTCCCTCCCGGATGGGGCGGCTGGCCGGGCGGGGGGCCGACCCCCCCACCTCCCTCCCGGACGGGGCGGCTGGCCGGGCAGAGGGGCTCCTCACTTCCCAGTAGGGGCGGCCGGGCAGAGGCGCCCCTCACCTCCCAGACGGGGCGGCTGGCCAGGCGGAGGGCTGACCCCCCCACCTCCCTCCCAGACAGGGCGGCTGGCCGGGCGGGGGGCTGACCCCCCCACCTCCCTCCCGGATGGGGCGGCTGGTTGGGCAGAGGGGCTCCTCACTTCCCAGTAGGGGCGGCCGGGCAGAGGCGCCCCTCACCTCCCAGACGGGGTGGCTGGCCGGGCAGGGGGGCTGACCCCCCCCACCTCCCTCCCGGACGGGGCGGCTGGCCGGGCAGGGGGCTGACCCCCCCACCTCCCTCCCGGACGGGGCGGCTGGCCGGGCGGGGGGCCGACCCCCTCACCTCCCTCCCGGATGGGGCGGCTGGCCGGGCGGGGGGCCGACCCCCCCACCTCCCTCCCGGACGGGGCGGCTGGCCGGGCAGAGGGGCTCCTCACTTCCCAGTAGGGGCGGCCGGGCAGAGGCGCCCCTCACCTCCCAGACGGGGCGGCTGGCCAGGCGGAGGGCTGACCCCCCCACCTCCCTCCCAGACAGGGCGGCTGGCCGGGCGGGGGGCTGACCCCCCCACCTCCCTCCCGGATGGGGCGGCTGGTTGGGCAGAGGGGCTCCTCACTTCCCAGTAGGGGCGGCCGGGCAGAGGCGCCCCTCACCTCCCAGACGGGGCGGCTGGCCGGGGGGAGGGCTGACCCCCCCACCTCCCTCCCGGACGGGGCGGCTGGCCAGGCGGGGGGGCTGACCCCCCCATCTCCCTCCCGGACGGGCTGGCTGGCCGGGCTGAGGGGCTCCTCACTTCCCAGTAGGGGCGGCCGGGCAGAGGCGCCCCTCACCTCCCGGACGGGGCGGCTGGCCGGGCGGGGGGCTGACCCCCCCACCTCCCTCCCGGACGGCACGGCTGGCCAGGTGGGGGGCTGACCCCCCCACCTCCCTCCCGGACGGCACGGCTGGCCGGGCGGGGGGGCTGACCCCCCACCTCCCTCCCGGATGGGGCGGCTGGCCGGGCGGGGGGCTGACCCCCCCCCACCTCCTTCCCGGACGGGGTGGCTGCCGGGCGGAGACGCTCCTCACCTCCCAGATGGGGCGGCTGCCGGGCGGAGGGGCTCCTCACTTCTCAGACGGGGTGGTTGCCAGGCAGAGGGTCTCCTCACTTCTCAGACGGGGCGGCCGGGCAGAGACGCTCCTCACCTCCCAGACGGGGTCTCGGCCGGGCAGAGGCGCTCCTCACATCCCAGATGGGACGGCGGGGCAGAGGCGCTCCCCACATCTCAGACGATGGGCGGCCGGGCAGAGACGCTCCTCACTTCCTAGATGTGATGGCGGCTGGGAAGAGGCGCTCCTCACTTCCTAGATGGGATGGCGGCCGGGTGGAGACGCTCCTCACTTTCCAGACTGGGCAGCCAGGCAGAGGGGCTCCTCACATCCCAGACGATGGGCGGCCAGGCAGAGACACTCCTCACTTCCCAGACGGGGTGGCGGCCGGGCAGAGGCTGCAATCTCGGCACTTTGGGAGGCCAAGGCAGGCGGCTGGGAGGTGTAGGTTGTAGTGAGCCGAGATCACGCCACTGCACTCCAGCCTGGGCACCATTGAGCACTGAGTGAACGAGACTCCGTCTGCAATCCTGGCACCTCGGGAGGCCGAGGTTGGTGGATCACTCGCGGTTAGGGGCTGGAGACCGGCCCGGCCAACACAGCGAAACCCCGTCTCCACCAAAACCAGTCAGGCGTGGCGGCGCGTGCCTGCAATCGCAGGCATTCGGCAGACTGAGGCAGGAGAATCAGGCAGGGAGGTTGCAGTGAGCCGAGATGGCAGCAGTACAGTCCAGCTTCGGCTCCGCATGAGAGGGAGACCATGGGGAGACGGAGACGAGGGAGAGGGAGAGGGACAGGGAGAGGGAGAGGGAGAGGGAGGTGTCCATCTTTATTTCAAGGGCTTTCAAAACAGCCTGTTTGTAACCTTCATTATTAGCCACTGAGAGCTCCATTAAAGCAGCCCATTAGCTTTCTGGATCAGAGCACGGTGGGACCTTGCCTCACCTTGGCAGACATTCTTAAGTGTCATTTCCCCGAAACACTTAGTTCCTGTTCTGCTAGACCTGGCTTTTTGAAGTCTTGAAATGATAGTCATCAACAAAATTACAAAGGTCGGGCCGGGTGCAGTGGCTCACACCTGTAATCCCAGCACTTTGGGAGGCCGGAGCGGGCGGATCACAAGGTCAAGAGTTCAAGACCAGCCTGGCCAACATGGTGAAACCCTCTCTTTACTAAAGATACAAAAATTAGCCCGGTCTGGTGGCACATGCCTGTAATCCCAGCTACTCGGGAGGCTGAGGCAGGAGAATTGCTTGAACTTGGGAGATGGAGGTTGCCGTGAGCTGAGATCGCATCATTGCACTCCAGCCTGGGTGACAGGGCGAGACGCCGTCTCAAAAAAAAAAAAAAAGAAAAGAAAAAGGCCGGGCCTGGTGGCTCATGTCTGTAATCCCAGCACTTTGGGAGTCCAAGGCGGGCGGATCACGAGGTCAGGAGATCAAGACCATCCTGGCTAACACGGAGAAACCCTGTCTCTGCTAAAAATACAAAAAATTAGCCGGGCGTGGTGGTGGGCGACTGTAGTCCCAGCTACTCAGGAGGCTGAGGCAGGAGAATGGCATGAACCTGGGAGGCGGAGCTTGCAGTGAGCTGAGATCACACCACTGCACTCTAGCCTGGGCGACAGAGTGAGACTCTGTCTCAAAAAAAAAAAAAAAAAAAAAAATTAGAAAGCTCAAGGAGCAGATCTACATCTTTTTAGTTCCCACAGGGACAAACTTGCCCACAGCAGGTTCTTAGTATATGGTGGGACATAATGAAGAAATAATAATAATTTATTTATTTATTTATTTATTTATTTTTGAGTTGGAGTCTTGTCCTTTCGCCCAGGCTGGCATGCAGTGGCACCATCTTGACTCACGGCAAACTCCACATCCTGGGTTCAAGTAATTCTCCTGCCTCAGCCTCCCAAGTAGCTGGGATTACAGGTGTGCGCCACCACGCCCGGCTAATTTTTTGTATCTTTAGTAGGGACGGGGTTTCACCATGTTGGCCAGGCTGGTCTCGAACTCCTGACCTCGTGATCCACCCGCCTTGGCCTCCCAAAGTGCTGGGATTACAGGCATGAGCCACCACGCCCAGCCTGTAATGAAGAAATTATTAATCACTAACTGTATGTCTGCCACTGTGTTGGGCATTGTGTGATGGGAGACAGAAAACAAATACATAAACTCATTCTGCCCATGGCATCATTATCTTCATTAATAATTTCCTTTTCACAGTGATTCTGAGAGGTCAGGTTCAAAATGATAAATGGTAACACAACCAGTAAGTGGTACAGCCAGGTTAATTCACATCTCCAGTTCCAAAGTCCAGGTGCTTTCTTCTTGATCAAGAGGAAGATCTTTTTGATGACTTTGTAGGAGGGTGAAATTTTTGTGAGGAGATAAGAAACAACTGAGAACCAATTCAAGAGAACAGATCCACGTGTCCCCAGTCATGTCAGCCACAAGTTCTTCCAGTGCTCAGAGCTAGTGCTGAGGGAGACTGAGCATGGAAGTATCTGGGAGAGGCTTCCTGTGAGTGAGAGGGTGAGGATGGTGGCTGGAGTGGGCAAGATGGGGAGGCCCAGACTGAAGAGATTGGGCTGACCCTATAGATAGATATTCGAAAGATATTTGAGCAGGTACATGGAACTAGTAAAATGACAGTTTTGGAAATTACCTTAAGTTCAGTGTACTTTATCTTAGGACAGAGGGGTGAGATGGAGGGGCATGCATTGGGAGAAGTTGCAGTCATCTTTAATCTGGAGGATTTCAGGCCAGGTGTGGCGGCTCATGCCTGTAATCCCAGCACTTTGGGAGGCAGAGGTGGGTGGATCATTGGAGGTCAGGAGTTTCAGACCAGCCTGGCCAACATGGTGAAACCCCATGTCTACTAAAAATACAAAAATTAGCGGGGCGTGGTGGTGCATGCTTATAATCCCAGCTACTCCGGAGGCTGAGGCACAAGAATCACTTTAACCCAGGAGGCAGAGGCTACAGTGAGTTGAGATGGCGCCACTGCACTCCAGCCTTGGATGACAGAGCGAGACTCCATCTCAAAATAAATATCTCTCTCTCTCTCTATCTATCTGTCTATCCATCTGGAGGGCTTTGAATGCTAGTTTGAGGTTAGCCAGAACTCTGGCTTCCTTAGTACGAAGTCCAGGGAGATGGTTTTAGGTGGTGGCCACGGGAAATAGAGGCTGATGAAAGGACATCTCTTGTCTCTTCTGGCTTCTGCAGACAGAGCAGCTTTGCCTTTACCTAGTCATGTATTGTGGGCTGGTATAAGATTCATTCAAAAATGGCTTCAGGCTGGACGCGGTGGCTCACACCTGTAATCCCAGTACTTGGGGAAGCTAAGGCAGGTGGATCACCTGAGGTCAGAAGTTGGAGACCAGTCTGACCAACATGGCAAAACCCCATCTCTACTAAAAATACAAAAATTGGCCAGGCATGGTGGCGCACATCCCAGCTACTCGGGAGGCTGAGGCAGGAGAATCGCTTGAACCTAGGAGGTGGAGATTGCAGTGAGCCGAGATCGCACCACTGCACTCCAGCCTAGGTGACAGAGCAAGATTCCATCTCAAAAAAAAAAAAAAAAAATGGCTTCAGTACTGAAAACACGCACACACAGTACCCGTTTCTAAATGGCTTCAGTACTGAAGACACGCACACACAGTACCCGTTTCTAAATGGCTTCAGTACTGAAGACACGCACACACGGTACCCGTTTCTAAATGGCTTCAGTACTGAAAACGCGCACACACGGTACCCGTTTCTAAATGGCTTCAGTACTGAAGACACGCACACACGGTACCCGTTTCTAAATGGCTTCAGTACTGAAGACACGCACACACAGTACCCGTTTCCAAATGGCTTCAGTACTGAAAACATGCACACACAGTACCCGTTTCTTTTTTTACTGTCAAGTAGCCGTGCTTGGTTCTATTCTTTTTTTGTATTTTGTATGCTGTGAGAACCAAAAATTAAAAGTACCTTCCAAATAGCCAAGAGGAGCCTTTAAAGGATTTTTGCTAGGGAGCAGTTTGGGTGGTTTTAGAGCTATCACTCTGGAGAAAAAGGGCAGAGGGCGACTTGGAGACAGGGTATAGCCAGGAGGCTTGCAGGACGGTGTAGGCCTGATCTAGATTTTTACCTGTTTTGGCTTGGTTGGACCTTTTCAGTAAACTTGGTTTTTTGGATTCCTGTTTTCCTTGTTCATGAGCAGAGTGATTGAGAGTCTGGCTTAGAAGCTGGACAAGCCTGAGTTCAGACCTATGCTCTGTCGCCTGCCAGCTCTGTGACCCTGGACAAGTCAGTCTGTCTCTCTGAGCCTCAGTCTCCTCGAATGTAAAATTGAGATGATGTGGTCATAGTCTCTATCTCATATGGTTGTCATGAAAATGAAATGGGAAAACATGTAAAATGCAAACCAAGGGCCTAGCATAAAAATATGAACTGTCCCTGTGGCCCCTGGAGTTGTTTTAATTTGTGACTCTCATGGTAAGTACATTTTCAGAGGATTGGTTTGGAGTTTAGCAAATTAAAGTTCCAAATAAATATGTATCTTTGATATTCTTAGGGTATTTTTTAATGTTTTAGGAATATAGACAGATTTTATGATGGAATCTCATGAATTATGGCTAAAAATAATTTTTATAACCCTCCAGTGAAAGGTACTGAGAATGAGACAAAATTGGTTTGTCTTTTATTTTAATCGAGATAAAATGTGTATACAGTGAAAGGCATAGATTTTAAATAAAGTTCGATGAGTTTTCATAGGTTTTTTTTTTTTTTGAGACGGAGTCTCGCTCTGTTGCCCAGGCTGGAGTGCAGTGGCGTGATCTTGGCTCACTGCAAGCTCCACCTTCTGGGTTCATGCCATTCTCCTGCCTCAGCCTCCTGAGTAGCTGGGACTACAGGTGCCCACCACCACACCCGGCTAATTTTTTGTATTTTTTTTTTTTTAGTAGAGAAGGGGTTTCACTGTGTTAGCCAGAATGGTCTGGATCTCCTGACCTCATGATCCGCCCGCCTTGGCCTCCCAAAATGCTGGGATTACAGGCGTGAGCCACCATGCCCGGCCGAGTTTTCATAATTTATGCACCTATATAATCAACACTCCAGTCAAGATACAGAACATTTCTGTTACCCCAGAAAGTTCCTTCATGTCCCCTCCAGTCAGTCCCTACCCTGCATAGGTAACCAGTATTCTGATTTCCGTCATCATAGGTTAGTTTTGCATGGTTTTTTTCTTGTCGCCCAGGCTGGAGTGCAGTGGCGCTGTCTCAGCTCACTGCAAGCTCTGCCTCCCAGGTTCATGCCATTCTCCTGCCTCAGCCTCCCGAGTAGCTGGGACTACAGACGCCTGCCACCACGCCCAGCTAATTTTTTGTATTTTTAGTAGAGACGGGGTTTCACTGTTAGCCAGGATGGTCTCGATCTCCTGACCTCGTGATCCGCCCGCCTCGGCCTCCCAGAGTGCTGGGATTACAGGCATAAGCCACTGCGCCTGGCCTTTTTTTTTTTTTTTTTTTTTTTGATGAGCAGAAGTGTTTGAATTCTGTTGGATTGATACAGTCCAGTTTATCTTTTTTTTTTTTTTTTTTTTTTGAGATGGAGTCTTGCTCTGTTGCCCAGGCTGGAGTGCAGTGGCACGATCTCAGCTCACTGCAGCCTCCACCTCCCAGGTTCAAGCAACTCTCCTGCCTCAGCCTCCTGAGTAGCTGGGATTACAAGCGCACACCACCACGACCAGCTAATTTTTGTGTTTTTAGTAGAGACGGGGTTTCACTGTGTTGGTCAGGCTGATCTCGAACTCCTAAGCTTGTGATCCGCCCGCCTCGGCCTCCCAAAGTGCTGGGATTACAGGTGTGAGCCACCGCGCCCGGCCCAATTTATCCTTTTTTTTTATGGTTAGTGATTTTAGGGTCCTCCCTAAGAAATATTTGCTACTCTAAGATCTGAAAATATATTTTCCTATATTTTATCTGGAAGCTTTATAGTTTTAGCATTTACATTTAGGTCAATGATCATCTTGAATTTTTTTTCTACATATGATATGACGTAGGAGTCAAGGTTTATTTTTTTCTGTGTTTATCAGGTTTTTCCAGCACCATTTGTTGAAAAGCCTTTTTTTTTGAGACAGAATCTCGCTCTATTGCCAGGCTGGAGTGCAGTGGCAGTGGCACAATCTCGGCTCACTGCAATCTTCGCCTCCCAGGTTTAAGCGATTCTCCTGCCTCAGCCTCCCAAGTAGCTGGGACTATAGGCACACGCCACCACGCCCAGCTAATTTTTGTATTTTTAGTAGAGACAGGGTTTCACCATGTTGGGTTGGCCAGGATGGTCTCCATCTCTTGACCTCGTGATCCACCTGCCTTGGCCTCCCAAAGTGCTGGGATTACAGGCGTGAGCCACCGTGCCTAGCCCAGACTAATTTTTTTTTCTAATTTTTTGTAGAAAAAGGGTCTCACTATGTCACCCAGTCTGGTCTCAAACTCCTGGGGTCAAGTGATCCTCCTGCCATGGCCTCTCACTGTTCTGGGATTACAGGCGTGAGCCACCATGCCTGGCCCAGTTCTGTTTAGAATTAATATACCATTTCATGTTTAGTGCAAGAACATGAAAACAATAAAATTCTATTTTGTCCCCATCCTTGATGATATTTTTATTGTTGTTATTTTTTTTTTTTTTAAGAAATAAATCATAGTGGGGATTCACTATGTTGTCCAGGCTGGTCTTGAACTTCTGGGCTCAAGACATCCTCCTGCCTCAGCCTTTCAAAGTGCTGGGATTACAGGAGTGAGCCACCACCCCCAACCAGTGGTACTTTTTGTCATACATTTTATGTCTAACGATTGATTGATTGTAGAGACGAGGTCTCACTATGCTGCCCAGGCTGGTTTTGAACTCCTGAGTTCAAGCAATCCTCCTGCCTCAGCCTCCTGAAGTGTTAGGATTACAGGCATGAGCCACCAGGCCCAGCCTACAACGTTACTATTTTTGCTTTAAATAATCAGTACTCTTTTTATAAATTGAGAAGAAAAAAATTCAGCCTCTTATATTTACCCACATATTTTCCCTTTCCAGTGTTCCTTGTGTCTTCCTGTACATTTGAATGTTCATCTGTATCATTTCCCTTCAGCCTAAAGATGATCTTTTAGTGTTTTTATACTAAGGTCAACTGGGGTTGAACGATCTCAGCTTTTGTGTCTGGTCTCTGCCCTCTGGCTGGGCCAGAGCTCCGTCTTTCAACCCTGTCCAGCTTCTGCTGTCTCTGTTCCCCTCTTGGCCCTGCAGCAGTCACTCTCTGCTAGGCCTCCAGGCCCTCATCTGAGGACCTGGGACAACCTCAGTAAAATTTTGGGTATTTCCCTCTGTTCAGCTGTCTCCTTTCTAGTACCCTGACCCCAAATTCCAGCCCCTCTGGCAGTCATGAACTCCAGTCTTTGCCTCCTCAGCTCACTGAGACTGAGGGAGGCTCTGCTTAGCCTCCCTTCCCCTCACTGTTTAGAAGGTGCCCCCAGGCAGAAAGTCTGGGCGGCCTAGGGGCTCACCTCGCCCGTGTCCTATCTTTTCAGCATCAGAATCTACACTTACTGTCCAGCGCCTGAAGACAGTTGCCATATGTATTTTGTCTAGTTTTGTCATATATGGCCAGAGGGCAGATCCAGGACCAGTGACTGTGTTCTGACTAGAAGTGGAATCTTTGCTTTAAGTGATGTGTCTTGCGTGTTAAATGTCAGGGGAGCAAGATCCCCCAGTGCTGAACATGGATCCTGTGGCTTCACCAACATGTAGCCCCTAGTGGCTGTTGGTCAATTGTCCCAGCACTGCTGCTGCAGGATTTGATGTTGTTAATGGTGATCTGTAGGCCTAGGCAGAGATGACAAAACAGTGGTTCCCAAACCTTTTTACTTTTCTTTACTTTTTTTTTTTTTTTTTTTTTTGCAACCTCTGTGGCCCAGGCTGGAGTGCAGTGGCACGATCTCGGCTCACTGCAAGCTCCGCCTCCCGGGTTCATGTCATTCTCCTGCCTCAGCCTCCCAAGTAGCTGGGACTACAGGCGCCCACCACCAGGCCCAGCTAATTTTTTATATTTTTAGTAGAGATGGGGTTTCACCGTGTTAGGCAGGATGGTCTCGATCTCCTGACCTCATGATCCGCCCACCTCGGCCTCCCAAAGTGCTGGGATTACAGGCGTGAGCCACTATGCCCGGCCAACCTTTCTACTTTTCTAATTCACCTGAAATACTTGTTTAAAATACTATTTCCTGGGACCCCCCCTCAGACTTGCTCAGTCAGCCTTAGGGGTCTGCCCCTTGTTTTTCAACAGGTCCCCAAAGCGTTGGTCAGCATGCACTGGAAAGGGCTCTCATGAACAATCCTTTATCAGTGCTGTTAAGTCAATATAGAATTAATGAAGACCTGGGGTCTCAGGGTCTGAGTCTTTTTCGTACGGTGTGAAGGCTTGGCTGATACCAGAAACAACCTGGAAAATGTTGGCCTTTTTAACAGTTTATGGTTTTTTGGCTGTCTGCTTTCCTTCCCTTTCTCTTTGTGTTGCTTTCTCCCTCATCTAAGCTTATTCACCTCTTTTATTTTTTTCAGAGACGGGGTCTCACTCTGTTGCCCAGGCTGGAGTGGAGTGGCGTGATCATAGTTCACCACAGCCTCAAACTCCTGGGCTCAGGCGATCCCCCCACCTCAGCCTCCCAGGTAGTTGGTACTACAGGCACACACCATCACACCCAGCAATTTTAAAATTTTTTTGTAGAGATGGAGTTTTGCTATGTTGCCCAGGCTGGTCTTGGCCTCCAGCGATCCTCCTGCCTTGGCCTCCCAAAGTATTAGGATTGCAGACATGGGCCACTGTGCCCAGCCACTTAATTCACCTCTTATACGATAGCATGGTATAAAAGGAAAAATCCAATTATTTGGAACTTCTAGTTCTGTTTGGGTTAATTTTTATGTTTGTTTTAAGTGCTTTACATTCTTCCTTGTTTTTTAGGGAGACATTAGAGAAGCAAGTATTTTCTCTCTGGAGGCAGAAGATGTTTCAGCATCGAGAAAACCGCCTGGCAGAGAGAATGGTAAATGGCTGTCCCTGAGGAGATGTGTGGAGGGGCAGGATCTGATTCAAGCCATTGCACTCACGGCCTCCCCTCCTCAGGAAGTTGCTCGGACCTCACTGGAGGGCCCCTGCCTGTGACTGTTGAGGCAGGGCAGGCTCTGGGGCATCTGTCCTTTCTCAGTGGAGCCTACAGACAGCTTCTGGGCTGGACCACGTCCTGACATCCATTCCTTTTGCCTTAGTCATTATTTGTGGCCTGTAAATTCTTTCCTGGCTTCTGTGCCTCTCTCCTACTTGATTTATTCTGTTCTCTCCTTCCTGTCCTGCCTCAGGCCATCCTTCACGCAGAGCGACAGCTTCTGTATAGGTCTTGGTTCATGTGGCACCAGCAGGCAGCAGCACGTCACCAGGAGCAGGAGTGGCAAACAGTGGCCTGTGCCCACCACCGCCACGGGCGGCTCAAGAAAGCTTTCTGCCTCTGGAGGGAAAGTGCCCAAGGGCTCAGAACAGAGTGAGTGGCCAGTTCTGCCTTACAAGCCTTTCCATCACAGGCCAGCTTTGCTTGTTCTAGCAGCACCATGAGCTCCAAGTGCCTGTCTGGAGGACTGCATTACCCCAGACTCTGGTTGTAAGTTCTGGAAGTTCAACCTAAAAGAGTCTTAAGTAAAACTAGGTTGGCCGGGCACAGTGGCTCACGCCTGTAATCCCAGCACTTTGGGAGGCTGAGGCGGGCAGATCACCAGAGGTCAGGAGTTCGAGACCAGCCTGACCAACATGGAGAAAACCCTCTCTATTAATAATACAAAAATTAGCCAGGCGTGGTGGCGCAAGCATGTAATCCCAGTTACTCAGGAGAGTGAAGCACGGAAATTGGCATGAACCCGGGAAGTGAAGGTTGCAGTGAACCGAGATGGCACCGCTACACTCCAGCCTGTGCAACAGAGCGAGACTCTGCCTCAAACGAACAAAAGTGACCATAGCCAGGGAATAAACTGATGGGCCCATATTGTGATAGCTGACTGCTGCAGATAAGGGATAGGGACAGCAGCTGTGGCCAGTGGGTGGGTTGTGGCAGTTTTTAACCACACCACGTAGTTAAGAGAGAGGAGGGGAGGCAGCCCAGTCACTATAGAGACTGTCCTGCTTTGGGGCCTTTCAGTGTCCACTGTGTGTTCTGAGGATCTCACTCCCTGTCGCACACTGACCATGTTTAACCAGTTTCTCAGTTGGGGGCTTCACACCTGCACATGTGAGCTTCAATGGCACCTGAAGCCCTGGGAAGTTGTAGGCCAAAATTTGATCATAGGTGCTTTTTTCTGAGACTGCAAGTTCTTTGGCAGCTCTTCAGAGAGGGTCTTGGCTCCCCCAAAAACTTAACCAGGTAGGGCTATGGACTATGAGGAGGAACCCATAGAGGGTGCCCTCACTGGGTGGGGGCTGCAGCACTGAGCTCTGCCATCTCCCCACAGGAGGACGGGCAGGGTGCGGGCAGCAGAATTCCACATGGCCCAGCTCCTGCGTTGGGCCTGGAGCCAGTGGAGGGAGGTAAGGCTTTGGTGCGAGGTGCCACCCGTGTATGACTTTTGGACAGGTGGGCTGTGTGTCAGCAGGACTCACAGGCAACATATGGGCCACACCACCTACCTCTGAGCTGAAGGAGGAGAACAGGCAGCATAGAAAGTGTTAACTCAGTTTTATGAGCTGATTTGGCTCAAAATTTTGTGTTCTTTCAGATCCTAGGCTGTTCTTATTTGAACTTACTGCATCTAAAATTCCTGATCTAACCATTTACAGGAGTCCTACGTCCTACTGAGTGTAAAACATGTTTAAACTCACATTAATTGAGCTTTTACCGCAAATCAAGCACTTACCTCATCAAATCATCACAGAACCCCTAAGAAGCACGTATTTATAGATGAGGCCAGAGAGGTTAATTTACACTCACACAGATGATGTATAAAATGGAGGCAAAGCAGGAAGCCACCCCCAACTCAGACCCCAGCCCACGGTAGCTGCTTTCTCCTCTGTCTGCAGTGCCTGGCCCTGCGGGGAGCGGAGCGGCAGAAGCTGATGCGAGCAGACCTGCACCACCAGCACAGCGTGCTGCACAGGGCGCTGCAGGCATGGGTGGTAGGAACTGCTGCTTCCCTCCTGATCTTGCTGTGGGGACAGGGGAGGTTTCTGGAGACTTTGTTTTCCTTCCTTGTTCTTCCTGTCCGTCCCAGAACAGAGTCACGTGACACACCTCAAACCAAGCAGGTGCCCCGGACAGCGGGCCTTAGGCCATAGGGTTCTTTGATTCTTGCTTGGCCAAGTGGAAACAAGTGCTGTCTGTGGGTACTAGCCTTGTAGCGAAAGCAGCTCCTTTCCCTGGAGTCCCATGGTTTGACTTAGGAGGTGAGGGCCTGTGAGACAGTTTCTCCCTGTCGTCTGGGAGGGTCTGCTGGCCCTGGGACCAGGGGCTGTTGGCCTCTTCCTACCCTTTTTGAGTTCTCTGGGCATGGCAGCCTTGTGGTAGATGCACCTCTGAGGCCTGCCTAAACAGGGGGAAGTGTGGGCCCAAGAGCAGCCTCAGTCTTCCTTGTCCCCTACAGACTTACCAGGGCAGGGTGCGAAGCATCCTCCGGGAGGTGGCAGCCAGGGAGAGCCAGCACAACAGGCAGCTGCTGCGGTGAGTCTCCCGGGCGCCTCCCAAGCTCCAGCTGGGGAACAAGGAATGCACTCCAAACCCCAGCCTTTTAGGGGGTCCTGCTGAGGGCCAGGTCGGGGATGATCCCGGGTTCCTAGTCGCTAATATCATGGTCTTGGCTTTTCCACTTCACTCACGGGTTCGCCTTCATGTCTTAAGCCCCTGCTGTGTGCAGGGCAGGACCTTGGAAAGCAGCTGTTACCTGCATGCCTTAAAGGCCACTTGTCTTGCTCTTCTGAGCACTTTTTCCTCCCTGCTTCACGCCTACAAAATTCAGCTTTGCAAGGCACCTTGTCATCTCTTCCACTCCAGAGGCTTCAGCGACTCCCTTTCCTGTCAATTTCCAAGTAGTCCCCTTCCAGCTTGCTCTGCAGGCCTGTCACTGACTCTCCAGCGTCACCTCTAGGCCCTGTCAGACCATCTGCACCACTCACCCCTGTGGAGGGTGCTTCTGCAGCTTCTGCCACTCTTTCTAAGCCCAACTCTAACCTCACTCCTTCCCAGCAGTCCTCCCACATGCCCCCTTTCATTTCCTTCCTTTGTATTTGTTCAGCACATGATACTCCTGGTGGCCTATGGACAGTGGGTCTCGTGGACTTTAAACACCTCCATCCTTAGCTGGGCGCGGTGGCTCATGCCTGTAATCCCAGCACTTTAGGAGGCTGTTTGACACCAGGAGTTTCAGACCAGCCTGGGCAACATAGCGAGACCTTGTCTGTACTAAATATAAAAAAAATTAGCTAGGCACGGTCATGTATGCCTGTGGTTCAGGTACTTGGGAGGCTTAGGTGGGAGGGTCACTTGAACCTTGAAGGTCAAGGCCACAGTGAGCCGTGATTATGCCACTGCACTCCAGCCTGGGCGATGGAGTGAGACCCTGTCTCTCAAAAGTAAATAAATAAAATAAATGCCTCCATCCCTCATATGGAGTCCCATAGAGCACCCATCCCGCTCTTCAGACAGGGTGGAATAAGCAAGAACTCCCTGAGCTAACTCAGCAGCAAGCTGAGGCGTAGGCAACCTTCCTCCAGGTTCCCTGTCTCTCCACACTTCTCTTATCACAGTGTGAGTCACCTGTGTTGCCACTGCCTGGTTATGCCCTGTTATCCCCGTAGCACCTGGAGTTTGGTCTCCAGCAGTGCTGGGTCCCTCATGCACTCTTGGTGCCCAGCCCAGAGCAGCTGCTCAGTAGCCATTTGTTGGACATAGATGTGCAAGTAAACATAGGTGTTGGTGAAACAGACATTCTTAGGTGTAGAGTCCCTGACTCAGGAGTAGGGGAAGAAGTAGGAATGATTCACAGAAGCCTCCCTTCTCTCTCTATCCTGGTGTCATCTGCCTTCCTCGCACCCATGCATCTGCAGCGGGGCATTACGTCGCTGGAAAGAGAACACCATGGCCCGAGTGGATGAAGCCAAAAAAACCTTTCAAGCAAGTACTCATTACAGAAGGACCATATGTTCCAAGGTGAGGTATAAGGAGGCAAGCTGGTCACCCAGGAGAGTTGGGACTGTGTTCTGGTGAGGGCGTGGGATGTAGGGGGTGGTGCCAGAGATTTGAACTGAATAAGGAACCTAGAAAATGGGTAACTTTCCTCCAGCACACACACAAACATCCATGTGGGCACATGTTTAGTTTTTTACTGAATTACAAACCAATATGCATTAAATAGAAACATAACACATCATAAGTGAACTAGTTCTTATCAGAACCAGTATTTTCTTTTTTTCTTTTTTTTTTTTTTTTTTTTTTTGAGACAGTCTCACTCTGTCACCCAGGCTAGAGTGCAGTGGTATCATCTCAGCTCACTGCAACCTCCATCCCCCAGGTTCAAGCGATTTCTCCTGCCTCAACCTCCCGAGTAGCTGGGACTACAGGCTTGCGCCACCACGTCCGACTAATTTTTGTATTTTTAGTAGAGATGGGGTTTCACCACATTGGCTAGGCTGGTCTTGAACTGATGACCTCAGGTGATCCATCTGCCTCAGCCTCCCAAAGTGCTGGGATTACAGGCTCTTTGAATCCAGGAGGTGGAGGTTGCAGTGAGCCGAATTGCACCACTGCACTCCAGCCTGGACAACAGAGCAAGGTTGTCTCAAAAAAAAGAAAAGAAAAGAAAAAATACCCGAAGCTAGCCTGTGCCTCCCTTCCCCTGGAAGAAGGAACACAGGAATCTTTGCTTGGCTTCAGAGCTTGAAGAGGAGGCCTTTTTGGTGGGAATGGAGTTCATGACAGCTCGCAGAGCAGGCACCAGGCATTCCCTGGGCAAGTGTTTTGTTATTGTGATTTTGTAGGCATCACTCATACAAAAGAATGTATACGACGTAGGTGTGTTCCATTTACTAAATAGTAATAGAGGCCGGGCGCAGTGGCTCACACCTGTAATCCCAGCACTTTAGGAGACTGAGTCGGGTGGATCACTTGGGGTCAGGAGTTCGAGACCAACCTGGCCAACATGGTGAAACTCCGTCTCTACTAAAAATACAGAAATTAGCTGGGTGTGGTGGTGCATGCCTGTAATCCCAGCTACTCAGAAGGCTGAGGCAGGAGAATCGCTAGAACCTGGGAGGCAGAGGTTGCAGTGAACCGAGATCATGCCACTGCACTCCAGCCCAGGTGACAGAGCGAGACTATGTCTCAAAAAAAAAATTACATATATATATTTTATATATATATAAAAATAGAATTAAGACCCATGTATATAATGACTTCACTACTTTATGGCATGGTATGATATGTAAATCCTGGTAGAAGAGTCCCAGCAGCTGAAATGCTGGGCTTCCTGTGAGGGGCTGGGGCCCTGTCCTATTGCTCAGTGGTCTGCGTGCAAGGCAGTTACTTCCTGGACCGTGTGTGAGAAGCAAATGGCAACAGCTTGGCCTTGCCTCTCCAGGAGCCACCGTCACAGACCTGGGGTGGACCCGGAAGCCAGGAGGTATAGTGACTCTTGCTGTGCTCCTTGCCTGCCCATAGGTCCTGGTCCAGTGGCGGGAAGCTGTGTCAGTGCAGATGTATTACCGACAGCAGGAGGACTGTGCCATCTGGGAGGCCCAGAAGGTGCTGGACAGGGGTAAGTGGGGCCCCAGAAGCAAGTCATGTTGAGGAATGTGAAGACAGCGCTGTTGTGGAGATCCCTGTGGCCCGCATAAGTCTGTCTCCTCCTCATACATGCCAGTTCCCTGTGGTTGCCATGACAAAGTACCACAGACTGGGAGTCTTCAAACAACACAAAATTGCCCTCTCAGTTCTGGAGGCTGGCAGTCAGCGATCAAGGTGTGGCAGGGCCATGCTTCTCCACAGGCTCTAGGGGAGGGTCCTTCCTTGCCTCTCCCAGCTTGTTTCTTGCTTGTCATGGCTTTCCTGGACGTGTAGACCCATTGCTCCAGTCTTTGCCCCATCTTGACATATCGTTCCCTTCCTGTGTCTGGGTCCCTTAGAAGGACTCTGGTCATATCGGATGAAGGGCCCACCCTACTTGAGTGTGACACCATCCTAACCAATTACATCTGCAGTGAGCCTAGTGCCAGATAAAAGTCACATTGTGAGGTTCCAGGAAGGACATGAATACGGCAGGTGTGGAGGGGGCACTGTTCAGTCCAGTATATCTTAGAAATCTATTCCCAACTGACTGCCAACCAGTTTATGTTAAAATGGAAGGCTAGAGCTTGAGATCTACAGAGAAATAAAGAAAAGAAGCTGGAATGGAGGAGCTTGGGGTGGTTGGGGAGGGGGTTGTTTTGATGGGAAAGTCCTTGCTGCTTGTCAGGGCAGCCCCCACCGTGTTAGCGTCCTGCTTCCTTGTGTAGCTGGGCCCTTAAATGTTTAGGGGCCAGAGACTTTCTAATTCGATCTCAGGAAGTCCTGCTGCCTGCTGTATATACATCTTTGGAAAGATTGCAGGGCACAGTGGTACACACCTATAGTCCCAGCTACTTGGGAGCCTGAGGTGGGAGGATCACTTGAGCCCAAGAGCTGGAGGCTGCAATGAACTATGATCACACCACTGCACTCCAGCTTGGGTGACAGAATGAGACCCAGTCTCTCTCTTTTTTGAGACAGAGTCTCACTCTGTCTCCCAGGCTGGAGTGCAGTGGTGCGATCTCGGCTCACTGCAACCTCCACCTCTTGGGGTTCAAGCGAATCTCCTGCCTCAGCCTCCAGAGTAGCGGGGACTACAGGTGTGTGCCACCACGCCAGGCTAATTTTTTGTATTCTTAGTAGAGACAGGATTTCACCGTGTTAGCTGGGATGGTCTCGATCTCCTCACCTCGTGATCCGTCCGTCTCGGCCTCCCAAAGTGCTGGGATTACAGGCGTGAGCCACTACACCTGGCCAAGACCTAGTCTCTTTTAAAAAATCTTTGGAAAGATAGTCTAGAACAGGAGTCCATGCCCCTGCTTGCAAGATGCACAGACACGCGGCAGACCCATGGGGAGCTGTCTCCTAACACAGCTAGGGGTCCCATAGTAGGAGAATCTGACACGCTGAAGGGGACAGCTCATTTTTAGAATAAATGAAAATACAAATAAAAGTGAAAACATTTAGAAATTGTTTAAATTGGCCCATAGAGAAATTGACCAAGTGGTTAAGTTGGTTTAATAGAGTTTGCTCCAGGACAAAACTGAATCAGCTTTGGTTTGGTTCCGACTGTAGCGTGTGTGTTAATGAGCATGTTTCAACACACATCCTGGGGACAAAACCCTGGGGTCAGCCATCCCACACGGCTGCATTACTGCGCCACGAATGTGCTGCTGGGTCCTGGAGCTTCTCCTCAGCTCAGAAACCAGCACTGTGTTTCTAGTTTACGAAGAAAGAAGCCGAGGGCTTTAGCCAGACCTTGGGCTCTGGAGCTTCTGCACCTGACCCTTTGGGCACCTGACCGTGCAGCTTCAAGCTCCAGAGGCTTTTGGCCAGTTTGGGTCAGCTGCCTTAAGGGTCAGGTGCCCACTCCTGGCCATGGTGGGAAGTTAGAGGCGACGGGTTTGAGTGTTGCCGGAAGCCGCTGCTCTCTGAAGGACTTTCCTTAGAGGGAGGCGGTGGCAGGCTTGGGTTGCCACGTCCATTACAGATGGTATGAGAGGCTTGGGAGACTGGGCTGCAAGACAGTGTACACGTAGTAGGTACACAGTAAATACCTGGGGAACAATTGACTGGCTTGTATTAAGGCCTCAGTGTCTCAGGCACACCTTGGCAGGCCAAGGGTGGGACTGGGAGGAGGGACTGAGGGGAGGATGTCACAAGACCCATTATGCAGAGTGCTGAAGAAGTACAGGCTGGCGGTCATAACCTGGCTGTGTGTGTGACCTCCAGCAGGCCCCCTCTCTGAGTCTCAATGTCTTCATCTGTAAGATGGGGATAACAGTGCCTACCTCTTGGGGTTGTCGTGGAGATCAAGTGAGATGACAGGTAGAGAGATACACACTTAGGACAGAGCCCAGGCATCAGCATGCAGCACTAATGTGGGTGCCTCCCACTTGTGATCTGCCGCCTTCCCTGCCTGCCTCAGTGGGCCTGGAGGGCTCCTCATCTTGGCATCTGTGCCCTGCTCTCAACCCTGTTCTGTTGTCTCAAAAAGAAAGTTCTCTCAGGGCCTAAGAAGGATTCACCAAAGGGAGAATCTGGTGACACAAAAACAAAATGCAGGATGTGGCCCATTCCTGCAGAACCCAGGGAGCCAGAGGGCATGGCCTGGCGACCAGCGCTGTCCTCCCCATCCGTGGCTTGGGCTGCTCTGACTGCTGTGACTGGGCCTTGGTTTCCACCCTGGCAAAACAGGCTGCCCTCTCTTCCAAGCTGCAGCTGAAGTGGGGGCTCCTCCTCCTCCCCCCTCAGACTGAGGGTCTTCTTCCACGTGCCCAGCAGCATTTTGCACGTGACTCTTAGGGTGCCCCTGGCACCCCTGTGGAGGCTGTGGACAGGCTTGTGGCTCTCAGAGGGCTGTTGGGGAGCACAACAGTAAACAGATCTGGTTCCAGTCCCCGGGGGGTTCACTGTTGGCAAAGGTGGCCAGAGCTGTCCCTAGAGAGGGGCCATGGTCCATGTGTGGTAGTTTCACCATGTGGGCTGGACACCTGAACTCTATCCCTGCACAGCCATCTCTGCTGTCTGCACCTTCACCATTATGTAGTCACTGGTGGAAATCCCACAAAACAGCAAACTCTGACTTGGATCTGCCTTAGGCTGTCTGCGGACCTGGTTTCAGCGCTGGTGGGACTGCAGCCGGAGGTCAGCCCAGCAGAGACTGCAGCTGGAGAGGGCAGTGCAACACCACCACCGGCAGCTGCTGCTGGAGGGGCTGGCCCGGTGGAAGACGCACCATCTGCAGTGTGTCAGGAAGAGGGTGAGGCTGACGGTGGCAACTCTCCAAGTTCTGCCTGCCTGGCAAGGGGTGTCCAGGCCAGGAGACCATTTCTCAGGAAGGGGTCTTTCCTGACAGCACTCCATGCAGCCGGTATGAGTGGTGGGTGGTTTGGGGTCCTGTAAGACAAAGCTGCAGGAGCCTTTCTGGGCGTTTGGTGGAGCCTAGCGAGTAGCCAGCCCCAGAATCCAGTGTCTCCCAGGGAAGACGGCTCAGCGGAAAAACCCGGTTCATGCTGACCCGTGGCTTATCAGTGCTGGGGGACCTACAGAGTGAGTCCTCTAGGCGGCACTCCCTGCCTATGCAGGAGACCCCTGGCACCATCCAGGACTCCTAGCAATGGGAGGACATTCAGCTGGGCAGAGGCTGGGTTAGATCAGGACCCACCCCAGGCTGTCTAGGCTGGGTCAGGACGCCACTCTCTGTGCACTTGCTCTCCCCCAGCTCCTGCACAGGCAGAGCACCCAACTGCTGGCACAGAGACTCAGCCGGACCTGCTTCCGCCAGTGGAGACAACAGGTGGGAACCCAGGAGATGTCCCCTCTGCACTTCCTTCTCCATCCTCTGGCCTGTGAGGCCTGGGCAGTGAATGACCTTCAGCCTACACCTCTAGTTCAGTATTTTTACTATCACCCTCCCCAGGGCCACCTCCTCTACCACCTTCCTGTCATTTCCAGGCACATCAGCTTCCTTCCGTCTGCAGTCTGCATAAGAACAGTTACTTCAAGGCCAGTTTCTCTCTCTACAGTGTTGTATTAAAAAATACATCAGTGGAGGCCGGGCGCAGTGGCTCACGCCTGTAATCCCAGCACTTTGGGAGGCCGAGGCAGGCGGATCATGAGGTCAGGAGATCGAGACCATCCTGGCTAACACGGTGAAACCCCGTCTCTACTAAAAATACAAAAAAAATCAGCCAGGCGTGGTGGTGGGCGCCTGTAGTCCCAGCTACTCGGGAGGCTGAGGCAGGAGAATGGCGTGAACCTGGGAGGCAGAGCTTGCAGTGAGCTGAGATAGCACCACTGCACTCCAGCCCGGGCAACAGAGCGAGACTCTGTCTAAAAAAAAAAAAAAAAAAAAATATATATATATATATATATATATATATAATCAGTGGGCCGGGCATGATGGCTCACGCCTATAATCCCAGGATTTTGGGAGGCCGAGGCAGGAGGATCACTTGAGCCCAGAAGTTCAAGACCAGCCTGGGCAACATAGTGAGACCCCATCTCTACAAAAACAAAACAGAAAAATTAGCTGGGTGTAGGCAGTGCACACCTGTGGTCCCAACTACTCGGGAGGCTGAGGCGGGAGGATTGCTTGAGCCCGGGAGGTCAAGGTTGCAGTGAGCTGTGATCATGCCACTGCACTTCAGCCTGGATGAGAGTGAGATTCCATCTCAAAAAGAAAAATCAGCATAATATCTTAAAAATTAACATGAAATGTGTTTTAAGGCTTTGCTGGGATCTTGCTTTTTAAAAAGCCAAGAGGGATCACACAGAGCAGCATCCACACGTCCCCAGCTCCCTCTTCCCGTTCTGTTGTCCTGTTTTCACCATTCCCCGGACCTCAGGCCGCTGCCTCCACGCATCCCCCTGCAGGAGCCCTTTGCCACCTTCTTTCATGAAGGTCATTCCTCAGGCCACAGATGGAGCGTGTGTTGAGCATCTCACCGCCAGGCACAAGGCTGGCCCTTCCTAGTGGAGGAAGTGGGAGCCTCGACTAGAGAGGGAGCCAAGAGGGACGAGCTGGGCAGGGCCCCGTGATCACCACGGCCTCCTTGAAGGGGCTATAGGGAAATGATCTGGTCTTTCTGGCCCTAGCTGGCAGCCAGGAGGCAGGAGCAGCGGGCGACAGTGCGGGCCCTGTGGTTCTGGGCCTTCTCGCTGCAGGCAAAGGTAATTGGGGCTCTGCATCCTACCATCCCTGCCTCTCCCTCAGGCCTTAGCCCTGCCTTGGGTGGAGGGAGGGCACCTGGTCTGTGGGGGAGCTCTAAGCAGGGAGACCTGGGCCTCACCTCCTGCCCTCCCTGGAGGTGTGGGCCACGTGGCTGGCCTTTGTACTGGAAAGGAGGAGAAAGAAGGCGCGGCTGCAGTGGGCGCTCCAGGCCTACCAGGGGCAGCTCCTCCAGGAGGGTGCCACGCGGCTCCTGCGCTTTGCAGCCAGCATGAAGGCCTCCCGGCAGCAGCTGCAGGCCCAGCAGCAGGTCCAGGTAGGCCCAGGGCCCCTTCCTGTGGGGAGCAGGCAGGGTGTGGCATGAGCTGACCAGAGGCTGTGTTGTAGGCGGCTCACAGTCTCCATCGTGCCGTCCGCCGCTGTGCCACGCTCTGGAAACAGAAAGTGCTGGGCCGGGGCGGGAAGCCTCAGCCCCTGGCAGCCATCGCACCCAGCAGGAAAGTGACGTTTGAGGGTCCCCTTCTCAACCGCATTGCTGCTGGGGCTGGGGATGGCACCCTTGAGACCAAGAGGCCACAGGCTTCTCGGCCTCTGGGAGCTCTGGGCCGCCTGGCTGCTGAGGAGCCCCACGCCCTGGAGCTGTGAGTAGCCTGTGCTCACCTTGTCCTCGCTTCCACCCTGGGCAAAAGGTTGGATGGCATAGCAGGGAGGAAAACAGCCCTGACGGGATGGGACGGGCTGGTCACGGCCTTGTCACAGCTGAGCTGCTGGGAACCCCCTCTTCTCCAGCCAGATCCCATCCCTCCCACGGCAAGAGGGAGAGAATGGAGTGGGATTTCCAAACCCTCTCTCCTTTGCCTGCCAAAGCTCAGGAAATAGGTGTCCCCTCCTCTGCAACACCTTCCTACCCTCTCTCCCGTCCTGCTGACACGATCTTTTCCGGAGTCATACACGTAGTTGACAAAGGGAACAAGCTCAGCTCCTACCCGTGCCTGCCGGCCTCTCTTCTGCTCCATCACAGCCAAGACACTGGCTTTTTGTCAGAAGCCCCTCTTTCTTGTGTGAGCTGGCACCTGTCCCTCTGCCCACCCCTACTATGGTCTCCTCAAACCCTAACCTGCCCTGCCCCATGCTGATGAAGCTGGTGGCTCCCACAGCAACCAGCACTACCCGAGAGCCTTGGGCCTCGGGGGAGATGTCAGGTGGGTGCATGGGGCCTGGGTCCCGGTCCCTGCTGTGCTCCTCACTGTTTGACTGACCTTGATGGGATCCTGAACGTCTCAGAGGCTGCTCCCCTGTGACATGGACCCTGGCGACCTGTACACCAGCGTCACCAGGGTTGTTCTGCAGGTCAAAAGAGACAATGTGGGTGAAGCAGTCCCCTGGCGTCAGGTACCTTTTGTCGGAACTGCTGGGAGCTCTATGGCCCAGGCCCACCCCAGCTTACTTGCTGACCTTGGCCTCGCCTTTCCTGACTTTCAGTCTCCCTATAAAATTGGAGATCCCACAGAGATCTCAGACCCCCCTGCAGCCCCTGGTCAGCCCAGGGGAACAGACCCCATGTTTCTTTCCAGCAACACTGCCCACTCAGCGAGGAAGCAGCCGCGACGCCCACACTTCCTGTTGGAGCCTGCGCAGAGCCAGAGGTCCCTGGGGTGCAGCACCGTGGGCAGGCAGGGGGAGATGGTCAGGGGTCCCCAAAGGCAGCGGGCACCTCCATGTGGGGCCTGTGTTTTGGCAGCCCTGGGGTGGGTGGCCCCCTTTCCTTCTTGTTCTTTGGTCCCAGAGGAGGGTCCTGTGGCCTGACCAGGCTCTTGCCTTCCCTGTGCTCAGGCCTCAGAAGCCACAGGAACATGGCCTAGGCATGGCTCAGCCAGCAGCCCCCTCCCTGACGCGGCCCTTCCTGGCAGAGGCCCCGACAGCACTGGTCCCACACAGCCCCCTGCCTGGGGCCCTGTCAAGCGCCCCTGGCCCGAAGCAGCCCCCGACGGCAAGCACAGGCCCGGAGCTGCTGCTGCTGCCTCTTTCCTCCTTCATGCCCTGCGGGGCGGCTGCACCAGCCAGGGTACGTCCTCCACCACCAGGCCTGGGCACTGGGGCTCTCACTCTGGTCTGACTTCTGGTGCTTTCTCATGCCACAGCTGTACTAGTTTCTGGAAAACCTTGGCACAGGGAGGCCACTCATCCATTTGACAAGCATAGGTAGCCACTGCACACCAGGTCCAAGGGCCACAGCAGTGAACAGCCAGCCAAGGGCCCTGCCATCCTGAAGCTTATATTCTAGTCAGAGACAAGCAAAGAAAAACCCCTGCCTGCAGGCCAGTAAAGTGGCTGCAGATCACGTAGGGTCCTGCAGGCCACAGTGAGAAGTAGCCTGGGATTTGAGAAGAGTAGGAAGTCGGGGAAGGGTTTTGGCAGGGAGCACCATGTCAGGTTTCTGTGCAGGCTGTGGTCACCATGACCACGTGGTCCAGGCAAGTAGTACTGGTGGCCTGGGCTCAGCGGTTGCCACAGAGGGGACAGGTACTCTCTTGGAGGCAGATGAGGCAGGATATGCTGCTCTGAGGGAGTTGCTGAATGAGGGGAAAGAAGGAATCCAGGCTGATGTGGGCTGCTGGCTTGAATAACTTGGGAAACAGAGTTCTTTGACTGGAAGAAGGAACTGGGGGTGGGGACTGGTTTGGGGTGAAGTGTCAAGAGTGTTTTGAACCAGGCTCTTGATGTCAAATTTGAGAGAAAGCAAACGTTGAGTCTGACCTTCAAGGAAGAGGTCAGGGCCAGAGATTGAGAAGAATCTTCAGCACAGGCCGAAGGTAACCCCAGAGCCACTGCGGCCTCTAGGAGGAGAGTACAGGGGAAGGAGAGAGGGGAGGAGGCTCCAAGCAGGGAGCCTGGGTGGGGATGGCCAGGGGGTGTGAGAGCTCAGTAATGGAAGTGACAGCTGCTCTAAGGCCACCAAAGCAGCTGGTTCCTGAAAGGGGATGAGGGGACAGGAAGGAACCAGTTCCTGTGGTGAGTTAGGCCATGTGGGGCCACTTACCCTGGCTGGAATGGTTTGAATGTGGGTTTGAAAGGGTTTTGACCCCTGTCCGGTGATGGAAGGGGCAAGTCCACTCTCACCAGGAGAGGAGGGCATGGAAAAGGCTGTAGAGCAGTGGCCTCTCACTGACCACTTCTCACTGATGTCAAAGCTCAGCAAGGTCATGAGCTTAGAGCAGGTGGGGGTGGAGGGTTGGGTAAGGCAAGGCTAGGAACAGCTGCTCAGGCAGTGGAGGCGTGAGGCGGACTGTGGTGACACGGGGTGCTCCCTGGTTGCTTGCGGGACTTTCCCCTACAGTACCAGGCCCTGTGTGCAGGGGCAGGCTAGACACTGAGCTGGCACGGCCAGTGCCTGGGAAGCCCAGCTCCTGCAGCTGGGAGCCTGGTCTTCCCCCACCCCTGCAGGGCAGGCAGTGACAAGGACTTGGTGTCCCCCTCCCTGGCTTCCTCCTAGCTTCCTTGCTCAGCATCTACCCTTCTTTCCTTTGCAGGTGTCAGCACAGCGGGCTACTCCTAGGGATAAGCCCCCGGTCCCCTCATCCCTGGCCAGTGTCCCTGACCCCCATCTACTCCTTCCTGGGGACTTCTCAGCCACCAGGGCTGGGCCTGGACTTTCAACTGCAGGTGTGTACCTGGGGCCTGTCAGGGCAGAAAGCACTCAGGCCACTCCCGGACCTGGGACTTGCTATTTACCCTGGTCCCCGAGGGGAAAATAGTCTGAAACAAGCTTACTTCTGTCGCCATAGGCAGCCTGGACCTTGAGGCTGAACTTGAGGAGATCCAGCAGCAACTACTGCACTACCAGACCACCAAGCAGAACCTCTGGTGAGCCCTGCGAAACGCCCTGCAGCCCTGGCTACAGGAGCAGGTGTTGCCTGGAGAGGTGGGCAGGCAGTTCCATTTCCCCCGAGCCAGCTGCCAGGGTCCTGTAGGTGGTCTCGGTCTAGCCATGGAGGGGTGTGGGGAGCCCTCAGTGTGTGCTGTCCAGAAAGACCCCATCTCCACCATGGCTCTCTACCCGGCTCAGTGCTGCTTAGGAAGGCCCAAGTCGTCAGACTCACCTGTGCACAGAGGCTCTGCTTCCTATGGGGGGGACGATAAAGTTGAGCAAAACTCTAAAAACCCGATGAGGCCATGCTGTCCCCAGTGACTAATTATAACACTGATATTAAAGGTGCAGAGAAGGGCCAGGCGCAGTGACTCACACCTGTCATCCCAGCACTTTGAGAGGCTGTGATCCAGGCAGATCACGGGGTTAGGAGTTCAAGACCAGCCTGGCCAATATGGTGAAACCCCATCTCTACTAAAAATACAAAAATTAGCCGGGCATGGTGGTGCACGCATGTAGTCCCAACTACTTGGAAGGCTGAGGCAGAAGAATCGCTTCAACCTGGGAGGCGGAGGTTGCAGTGAGCTGAGATCACGCCATTGCACTCCAGCCTGGGCAACACAGCAACACTCCATCTCAAAAAAAAAAAAAAATGCAGAGGAGACAGGCCCGTGACTCAGCTGCACTCAGTGGTCTGGGGACCATTCAACATGCAGCAACCTCAGAGCTTCCAGGGCAACAGACTGGCGCCTCATCCTTGGCTCTGCACAGGGGGAGAGAGACAAGGAGTGTGTTCTTGCCCAGGCCCACCTGAGTTGCTGTCTGCTGGGGAGGGCGGAGGAGACTGGGAGAGGAAAAAGAACAAGTGTTTGGCTCCCAAGCAGGGGCCTGCAGTTCAGGTCAGGGGCCCTACCAGACCACCTCTCTCCACCCGATACCCGCATCAGAATTAGCTGAGGTGCCTCTCCCTGAGCCGGATGGGGCTCTGCCAAGGACCCAGCCTGGCAGGCAGTGGGTATCTCCACCCCTCAGGTCCTGTCGGCGGCAAGCGAGCAGCCTGCGCAGGTGGCTGGAGCTGAACAGAGAGGAGCCGGGGCCTGAGGACCAGGAAGTAGAGCAGCAGGTGCAGAAAGAGCTGGAACAGGTGAGGCCCCAGGCCATCCCCAGGTGTCCCTGGGGACGCCCCGGGCTGTGCTCCCTCTCAGCCCTGCCTGTCCCTCCATGGCCCCAGGTGGAAATGCAGATCCAGCTGCTGGCAGAGGAGCTCCAGGCTCAGCGCCAGCCCATTGGCGCCTGCGTTGCCCGCATCCAGGCCCTGCGGCAGGCCCTGTGCTAGCGTGTTCGCACCAGGAACGCAGGTGCTGGGCTGTCGGGGAGGCCTCAGGCCACCTCCAGGAACAGAACACAGTTTTAAGTTTGATTTTTTTTATTTCAAAATGCTTTGCAATTAAATGAATTACTGTTCAGAAGTCTCCCACTTTTCATACAAAAATACTGTGCTACTGATACAGTTGAAAAAATTCAATGATGTCTCTCCTGCAGGAGAAATTCACAGCATCCCCAGGGTCAACATGAAATCTGGCCCTGTCCCCGCCACTGGGGGCTCCCCAGGCCTGCGTTCCTGATAAACTGGGACAGGTTTTCCAGGCACTGACCAACTATCCACCAAGGGTCCTCTGCCTCCAAGACAGACCCTGAATCAATAGCAGCAACTTTCCCATATTTCATGTAGGGATATGTGGAGGGGGACAGGAACTCTCCCATTTCCCCAGCTGGGCCTACTACCTGCCTGCCCTGTTCACTCTGGTGCCATGAGGCAGGTTCAGTGATTGATTGGTCTTGCCTGCTGCAGAGGACCTGGCCAGCTCCAGAAGGGTCACTCATCAGGTCCTGCAAAGGTCTGTATCATTAATCAGTGTCATCAGTGTCCTCAGAAGACACTAGCAGAGTCCAGGGTGATGCGTTCAGCCACAAGCACAAAGACTGCTTTTTCTAAAGAGCAGGATGAGGTGAATGTGGGAACGGAAAGCAGTTGTCACGAAGGCTGTGTGGCTCTGCTGGGGGAGAGGCATCCACAGTCTGTGCCAAGGAGGCACCTCACCCTGTGCAGCAGGAGCGTTAAGGCCAAAAAACAAAAGGGGCCAACAGAAAACAGCTCAGGTGATGGGGGGAGGAGCAGCAAGAAAAAACGACAACCGAGACCAACTGAAGGTTCGGTCAGGAATGCAGGCTCTTCCGTCTATACAGTGTTTAAAAAGATCCAAATGTGACTGAGATCATTCCAGCCTGCACTTTTTATTTGTAGGCAGAAGGAACGGGATAGGTTGAGGGGCATGATGGGGGCTCTCGCCACCTCTTGTCTGCACCTCTGGAACAGGTGGTAGCCGAATCATTCAAGTCCTACCTGGTCAGACTCCCAACCACGCTGAGGCAGGCCCTTACCTGGATGGCCTCATGGGCCTCCCTCTTGAAAAGACCCTCACTCTGTTTGGAAAAGATCCCTTAGCAGCCATAATCAGGAAAGAGACTCTAGAGCGAGCCCAGGGCTTCCCCAAAGCGGATTTTCTGTCCTGTTTTCAGCTGGAAATTGAAGTCCTTGGGGGCCTCGAAGATGAGCACGATGGTGGAGCCCAGGTTGAACTCGCCCAGGTGCTCGCCCTTACGCATGGGGACGCCCTCTCTATTGGTGTGCGTCACGAAGCTGAAGTCATTGTAGGAGCCCTTGCTGTGCCTTGGGCTGTTTGTGTGCAGGTCCTGTGGTGATAGGCTGGGGGTCAGTGGGGCCCAGGCCACCAAGTGCACAGTGTCACCCCCACATGTGTTTGGAGTCCCACTCCCTCTGTTGCTTGTCCCCACCACCACCCAACCCAGCTCCAAAAGGGAGGTGGGGATGGCATCTCAGGGCCAGGTGGGCCTGCTCTAGCCAGATCTCACACACAGCCTTGACACCTGCTGTGAACTGGGCCCAGGGAGGACAGGGAACAGTGGGGCCCAGTGGTCTCCATGCATGGTGCTGGGAGAGCAGCACCCGTGGGAGCCAAGGCCGTTGGTCACAAACTGACACCCAAAAAGGCAGCCCCTGGGGGCAGGGTGGGCAGCAGACCTGCGAGTGCTGACCCCTCATGCTGTAACCAACATGAGCCACCCCGAGCTCAACACTCCCTTTCTGTTCCCTCCTCACTCTCACCTTTGACCATGGTTCCTAGCAGAAGCCAGGTGCCAGGCAAGGAGGTTAATTCCCTCCATCTCTTCCAGCCACTTCCAGCCAGCAGTGCAAGGAGGGAGGGAAGCCTCAGCTGGCTGGCAGGTGGAGCGGCCATTCTCAGGACAGCTGCTCAGCAGAGCCAGGCCTGACCAGAGCTGTGGCCTCCCTAGAATTCAGTCCCAACGCATCCGCCGCACAGCAGACAAGGCAGGTAGACCCAAGAGGTCTGGCCCTTGGGCTTTGGCAGGGCCTAGATCCTGCTTACCCGGTCAAAGTAGATGCGAATGGAGCCCACGTTGGTGGCCCCCACAGCTGTCAGTGAGAAGAAGCCATGTTTCCAGTCCCCCGTCAGGACCACCCGCTCGTTATGGCAGAAGAGCTCTTTGATCCAGCGAGCCATGCCAGGGTTCACTGACATCAGGGAGCCTGCAGAGGCAGGGAATGCCGCTACTCCCCGTCCAGAGCCCGGTGTGTCCACCCCATGGCAGCCAAGACCCAAAGGGACTCATGGCCTGTTGCCCCGATGTCACTCCAAATGCTGAGCTGACTGGGCCCCACGGTCCCCTGCCCACAACCAGCCTGCATAAAGCAGTCAACTCCTGGCCTCAATGACCCTGATCTGGAGCCTGGTCCCCCAACACCAAGAAGCTGAGAGCCTCTATATGAAGCCCACAGAGGCAGCTCCCCCCACGCTGGCCCCGGGCTGACCTGGGAAGTGGCGCCGGTGGGACACAGTCCAGTCGGTGGGGGAGTGGAAGCAGTGGTAGTCCCCAGGGGCCAGGTAGATGACACAGTGATAGAGCTCATTCCCTTCCCGGGTGACCAGCTGGTTCTTGAAGGAGTCACACGACGCGGCTGTGGAGTAGGAGCAGACGTGGGGGCCACCAACACAGTGAGCACCCAGCACGGAGCCCGAGTGTGGTCTGCACATGGATTCTCAGGGAGGCCCCACATGCCAGCCTCAGTTCCTTCCCCAGCATT
The DNA here is from genome assembly GCF_000001405.40 of Homo sapiens. Classification (NCBI taxonomy): domain Eukaryota; kingdom Metazoa; phylum Chordata; class Mammalia; order Primates; family Hominidae; genus Homo; species Homo sapiens. The sequence continues at coordinate 31,621,269 of NC_000022.11, forward strand.
CCCCTCCCTCCCGGTCCAGCCACACAGCAGCAGGGCTGCCTAGCCCCGCCTGTGCAGTGACCCACCTGGTGGGAAGGGCAGGTCCTCTGTGCACATACGCGGGCCCAGGAACGACTCCAGGGAGTAGGTGACCCCCTTTACCTGCTCCACCTCACAGTTCTTCACCTGCCCAAAGTTGAGGATCCTTCCATCCGATGGGCTAATCTGGAAGGGCAGGAGAGGCTTGCTGCCAGGGAGAGCAGGGTCTCCTCCCCCCAGGAGACAGCCCCCACCTCCCCTTGTCATCCTGCCCCTTCCAGATACGCTGGAGACCAGGGGGGCTGTGCTGGGGAGGCAGGAAAAAGTCCTGTTTCCTGCAGGAGGAAAGGGTCAGGCCTCACCACGCTGTGCAGGCCACAGACAGGCCGGGCCTGCGGCTTCAGCTTGCGCCGGAAGAACTCGCTGAGGTTGCGGTAGTGATGCAGGTCCTCCACAGCGGCCTCTTTCATGTTCACCCCAAACGTCCAGATGTACAGGCTGTAGACGGGCCTGCGCAGCCAGTGTGGCAGCTCCACCTGATTGAGGCGACCCCAGGCCCGTGACAGCAAGCGCGTTGGCACTGACTTGTACAAAGCCACCTGCAGGCCACAGGGCAAGGGGCTGAGTTGACCACACTGCCCCAGCTCCAGAGAGCCCAAGTAGTGTCATTAGCCCAGCTCTCACTTCAGGGGAGAATCTGCACCCCACGGAGGACACCAGGGCCCAGGTGCCCCACGCTGCTTTTGTGATGTGGCTGTTTCTCACTGGGAACCAGACTGCACCTGCCACACGGAGTGCTGGATTTACATACAACTCCAGTGGATTTCATCATTTCATGCAAAAGTCAAATAGCAACTGCTCCAGTCCCAGAACGGGAGACGCCCAGCAGTCTTACTTCTTAAAGTGGGGGTCGGAAACGGATCTGATCCTAACCACAGTGTGTGACCCTAGCCACGGTGACCCCAATATCACAGTGTGTGGAGAGGTGGTGGGCATCTTGCCCGTGGTCACTGCCCATATCCCAGACCACCAAAGGAGGAGGCTCCCAAGTGCATGGAACAAGTCTACAGCCCAAAGTGTGTCCCTCTGTCTTAACAGGAAGAAGGAGGATACCCTGAGCACCAACAGGGATTTTCAGATGCAGGTCTGCGATGTCACTGTCACCTGGGCCTGAGCTGCAGACACAGGGTCTGCAGCCCCCACAGGTCCAGCCAGCACTCTTGAGGGCCTGGATGCAGCCAGTCTGAGAAGCCCAGCCCTGCTGAGCCCCACCTTGGCCCCACGGCAGGACTTGTGTTCAACGTTCTACTGTGACTGAGCCAGGCCATAAAGCCATCTGCACCTGGGGTTCCTCCCAGGAGGCAAAGAGAAGTCATCCCCTCAGGCCCCTCTGTTCTCTCTTCCTTCAGGGAAGCCTGGAGCACCTAAGACAGACGATGGCCTGGGGACAAGCACTGGGTCCCACTAGATGGTCCCAGAGCTCTCCGGCAGGGCCAGGTACCCAGGAAGGGGCAGCCTCTTAAACTTCAGGTGCTGCTGCCACTGTAGAAGCTGCCTGTAATTGGTGGCTGCTGCTTCTCTAAACACAACCAAGACACCAACTCCCCAAGGTGTAAAACTGATTTCATTCCAACTTTCAACACCTCTCCAAGGTAAGGTAAGCTCCCAGAGAGCTGCTCTTATCCCTTCCAGCTGATGCCCAGTCACACAGAAGGGCTATGTGAGCCCAGGCCCTTCCCAGGCACAGGTGGGAGCCTGGGCTAATGTCCAGGGTGCCTCAGTGCCCCTGAGCTCTGATGACACCCATGTGACTGTCAAAGGCCCAGGAACAGGGTTTCCTCCTTGGGGTCAACCTGCCTGGGAAGCCAAGGGCAAGAGCAAGCCCTCTAGGGACCAGGAGAGGACAAGCCAGTTCCCTTGCCCATTCCTGGGGCATGCCTCTGGGTTCCTTAAGGGTGTCCTCACCCTAAGGGACCCAAACAGGATCCATCCATCCTGAACCACCCCTTTGGCATCCCGGAATTAATTTGGCTTCTGTTCAAAATCACCTATAAGCTCTTTTTTGCTTGAACACAGAAAAATCAGAGACAGACACCATTTTCTGAATCCCCAGACTGGGTTCCTTCCAGAACCAGAGCCCCAAATGGCAGACATGAGGCAGGCTAGGGGAGTGGGCAGGGCACGACATGCCCTCGCAGTCACCCGCGGCCCAGGTAGTGGCCTTCTCAAAAGCTGCCTTGGCCTTGCCCACCAATGAACCTTCCGACCCGGACCCCCTGAAGATGTAGCGGTGACCTCTGCTTCTGACAGCTCGCCACCACCTCAGTCTCTCCTGCACCCCAACCTCAGGCCTGCCCGGAAGGGAGGTCCGAGCCACAGGGGCCTGTGCACACTTACCCTGCTTACGGGCCTCCATCCCACCCGGCTGAGCGGTCTGAGGGCGCCGAAGGGCAGGAGGTAGTAGAGGACGGTCAAGGGCCAGGAGCGCAGTTTCAGAGCGGGTCTGGACATGCAGCTCAGCTGCCCCAGCCTCCGCCTCAGGGCCAGCTGGGGGAAGTGCAACCTGCAGGGCACAGGTCCATGCACAGCCAGGTCAGTGGCCAGGCTCTGGGCAGGACCCAGGAGGCTGCCACCTGCACCCAGGGCAGGATTCCTCCTGTCTACCCACCCTTGGCAAGCTGCCTCTCCATGGGGGTGATGGAGCCCAGCAAGCACTGGCTGTGCCCCCTCGTCCCAACCCCATTCTGATTCAGGGGCTTGGCTGCCTCTGGCTAGCGGACTCATTTCCCAGGCTCTCCCACCCGCCAGCCAGCTGGGGAGGACTGGGAATGTGGGGGCAGCCGCAAGAGGAGAGTCAGGCCCAGCTGCGGGGCACCTCTCAGCTGCAGCAGCTCCCAGCAAGGGCCTCCAGGCCCAAGCACCTGGGCCCAGGAAGGGGAGAGCAGGGTGTAGGGCCTGCCTCACATCCCTCAGCCTCCGCAGCCCAGGAGAGTGGGCCCCAGGGGCCAGCTCTGCCACACAGGCACTGGCACGGCAGCACATAGCGCTGAGGAGCTACGACCCAGCCAGCTGGGTAACCATTTGCTGAGTCTTCCGCTACCATCCTTTGCAGGATCTGGGATATCCTTTTCATGGTTCCAGGCCCCCCCTTTCCTCATCTGCTAAATTACGGGGCCAAGGCCAGACAAGATCTCAAAGGGAGCATTTACACTCCGCCTACCACCACCACACAGCTACGGCTCCATCCATCTGCATGGTCTTTCTATAACAGGCCAGGTTCTGAAAACCCATCCACAGGTTTGTGAACAAAACCTCCCCACCACAAGCTCTCAAGCCACCTGTCTGCTCTGCTGGGGCTGCACAGACAGACACACACACACACACACACACACACCCATCCCAAGCCCCTCCTTTCAGCAAAGGTGGACACACACACACACACACACACACACACACACACACACACACACGAGACCCAAGCCCCTCCTTTCTGCATCCAGCCTCTCTGTGATCCGGCCTCTCCCCACCCTCCCAGCACAAATGCAGGGCACTCAGCAGGGGCTCAGCTTCACCAGAGCCGCAGAGGCTGGACGGGCCTTTCCACCACAACCCTGGCCTCCTGCGCCTAAACAAGGCCCACCCCACCCTGTCTGTGCCTAGGCCTAGCAAATGCTCCTGAGGCCCAGGGTAGCCAGCAGGAGACCACACTGCCATCCACTCAGAACGTCCCCAGGTCTCAGTTTCCTCATCTGCAAAGTAACTGCATTTAGCTAATCTACGGCTGCCATCTGGGACTGTGCTCTCAAGAGAAGCTGAGTCCTCTCTCCCAGTTGCTGAGCAAACCAAGGAACAAAGCAGCATCTCAGCTGATAGCAGCAGAGCAGACGGCAGGCGAACCAGTGGCGAACCCCGCTCAGGCTCAGGCTCAGAGCTGGCTGCATCCACGCAGCTCCCGGGTGCCTACTTTCTCTCCCATCGCACCCCGGTGTATTTTTAAAAGGTCCAGGAAGGTGGCAGGGGCCAAGCAAAGACAAATCACTGCTCCCCTCTGGCTTTGCCACCTGCCCCACTCACTGCAGAAGAGCAGGGACCAACTGGGAAGAGCTACACCCCTCCCATGGGCAGGAAGGGGAATGGGGAAGCCTCTCTCCTAGGTGGGGTGCAGAGGCAAGGGTCTGGGCTGCGAGCAGGGGGCCTGGGAGCACCAGGGTAGGGAAGATCGCAGGCATGAGGTCTGAGGCTCGCTGGCAGCCTCCCCCTGCTGGGCCCTCCTCATGGTTGGAACCAAAGATACCTGAAGCGGGCTCTCCGACTCAGGGTGCTCAGGCCCCCCAGGCCAGGCTCCTCCAGCCTCGGGGGCTGACCACCAGTCCCCTTGCCGCCACCTCTACTGCGAGGCCGCTGGATGTGAACTCTGACCTTCCGGAGGTCGTGGCGGGGAACCGTGGGGTTAGGGCGCGGTGGGCAGCATCTCACCATTTCGCCGCGCGGAGCTCTGGTCCTTGCCGCGCCTCTGACTGACACATCATGGGCCGGCGCAGGGAGGGCGGGGCGAGGCTCACTCGATCACTCCCTTTGTTTTCCTCTTTCCTCCCCTTCCCCCGAGCCAGCAGATCTCCTGTGCTGTCACTGCTCCAGGGCCTCTGCCTCTGCGAGGCTGGTTGGTGGCGCCGCTTCCTGGGTTTGGTTCAGTCTCGGTGGCTCACAGGGTGCAGAATAGAGGGTCAGGGCTATTGCAGACAGACAGGCACTGGTCACACACCTGCTCAGGTCACCTGCTCAGGGCTTGCAGTCCAGTGCAAAAGCCCCTGCACTAAAGCCCACTGTCCCCAGTCCTGGCCACCTGCTCTGTCCCTGCTACCCAGGGCTGAGCCAGCCTGCACTGCTCATCCTCTTCCTCAGCTGGCCTGGGGAGGCAGTAGGGGGCAAGGCCCTAGGGCTGCCCGGTCCAGTAAGCCATGACAGGGAGGGGACCAGCCACTGCTGCCAGGGCTTTCAGGCCCCACTTGGCTCCAAACGCACAAAGTGGGAACTTGAGCCCCGTGCTCCAGGCCCAGGCCCAGCACCGCGTCAGCCGGTCTGCAGTTTGGCCCCTCCCTTGCCAGGACCTGACCCATTTTCAATTCAGGTTACAAAGTAGCATCTGAGGAATGAGATGAGCGGGAAGCCACGAGAGGTGCCCTGGTGAGAACCTGGCATCTTACCTGCTCTGGCTCTCTCCTCACCCCTCCTGGCCTTGACCCCCCACCAACACACACACAAAATACCCAGCTCCCTGCTCCAGGCCTCCTCAGAAGCTGTGCATGTGGGGAAAACCAGCCTGGGGCTGGGAACAGGCCAGGACTGCAGCACAAACCAGTTCCACTCCCCTTTTTCCATCGTTGCTTCAGAAAAGCACTTTGGCCAGGGCCCCAGCCTGGCTATCTGGGAGGACACACCCGGCCCCTACAAAGCCTCTCCACCTTGGCCTGCACAGATAGCGGAAGGAAGAGCAAACATGCTGAAGCTGTGCTATCTCAGCCCAGGCAATCAAGGCCCTCCAGGATATGGGCTGACAGGGAGCCCACCCCTCCAGTCCTTCACCCCCAGCCACTGCCCAGGAAGGGGCAGGCACCTGTCACCATCCTTAGATGATGAAATGTGGCCCCAAGAGCTGCCATCTAAAGCAAAGAATAGGCCAGGCATGGCCAGCCCGCCATGAGGCCTAACTCAGACATCGCTGTGGTCGCGCGTGGTTGAACATCTGACGCCCTGGCAAACCCTCCTCAGCCACACAGGTGAAGATTCCGCCCGGGAACCTGCCTGCAAGAATCACCGAAGCCCCGGGTATGAGATTCAGTGGCCTCTTGGAGCCAGGACAATAAGGTGACTAAGGTCAGACACAAGCGTGGATTTCTCCCCCGATCCAGGCTGGGGCTGGTCCAGGCCCCTCTCCTAAATGAGTGACGGGGACAGCTCACTGCAGATGGGTCAGGCAGGAGGGCGCCTACCCACCAGCAAACAGATACACACCAGCATCCTCCCTTGGGAAGGTGCCGGCACCAGGAGATTGGCACAGGCACAAGAGGCCCATTGCATCTCAAGGCCGAGGCCCAGGCCCATAGACAGCCCCAGTGTCCAGGCCTCCAGGGCCATGTCACTCCAACCACTCCGCCAACATACTGAGCAAACGCCCCACCCTCCCTGGCCCACCAGGCTCCATGCTGGCCTCCTGCCATCTGCCCAGGAAACAGGGGTGATAGCAGTCAGGGGTGAGCCTGGTGCCTGGTTCCAAAGGGGAAGCTCTTTCCCTGGTCTATAGAGTGCAGGCTTGGAACTGAGCTCACAGCCAGGATTCAGAGGGAGGCAAGCGTGGCCTTGAGGGGAGGCAGAGAGGAGGGGCCTTGGGGAGCCCCAGCCTCCTGCCAGTTTTCCTCACTGACCTACCATGTGGGACAGTGACGACCACAGCCCTGAATGTATTAGAAAGACATGAACCCAGATAAACCCAGCTCGGCCAAAAACCTTGGGTTCTCAAAGCAGGTTCCCCTGTGAGCCTTGGCATTTCATTCTCCCATGGTGCTGTGAGGGGCTGGGTCTGGCCTCCGGTCTCAGAGGGGGCCCTACTGAGGAATCAAGGCACATGAGGCCAGGGGCCAGGTCAGATGCCCATCAGGGAAAGGTGAGCCCTGGAGAGACTAAGAACCATCCTGAGAGGCCAGGCTGGGGCACCGCACCTGCCAGTGAGCCCAGTGAGGGCAGGGCGTCCTTGCCCATTTAGATCCTTGTCTTTATCACTGTTCTGCCTCTTCTAAAACAAGCGCCGAGACCAGGGTGTCAGTGCCTCCATATCACCAGCTGTGGGCCCCAGAAGATCGCCAGGGAGGAAAATGAATCCAGCTTTGCCCCAGGACACAGGCTGAGCACCGTCTGTCCCTCTCAGAGCTGCAGGATGGAGAGAAGGGGCGCCTAGAGGTTGCTGCCTTCTTGCTTCCCAAGGCCAAGCCACTTCCTTGGCCAGCAGTGTTTCTGGCCTCCCTATTTCAAATCCTGGCTTGCCCTCTGCCTATGACAGCCCTGGAAGCCCAAGCCAAAGATTTCATCCTCTCTGGCTGTCTTGAGGTGACACGAGGTGGGAGCCTCAGGCCCTGGATGAGGAGCTTGCAAGAAGGGTATCCAGAATGGAGGAAGCACTGACACCTTCCCTCCCTTCTAAGCCTCAAAGACATTCTGTGGAGAGGAGTTTAGGGTTGTGACCAATAGGACTTTAATGTCACTACATGGCCTAAGGGCCAGTCACCTGCAACATGAGAACTCAGAGGGCTTTGTGGCTGATGACAACCTGGTCACTGCAATCCTGGCTGCCTTCCTCTACCTCTGCCCTGAGAGCAGGGAAAGGCATTGGCAAGTCACAGGTAGTCTCTAAGTCTTGGTTTGTACATCTGGAAAATGGGAAAGGAAATTCCTCCTGGCCACCCCCTTGAGGCTCAGAGCACAGCTGCAACCATGGCCCAGAACAACTGCTCAGAAACCCCACTTCCACCTAGGAGCGCGACGCAGCCTCAGACCTGGCTTCCAACACCTCACCTCTCTTTCCAAAAAGTCAACCTCACACTCCGGTGGGGGCAGGGGTTTCCACCACAGGAAAGATGAAATAAGAGGGGCTTAGGTGGCAGTTCTAAAACAGGAACCCAAACTTGCGCGGAGTGACCGGCCCTGTGAATAGGAAACAATGGCTGATAGGACCGTATAGGGGGTAGGGGAACACCTTTGTCAGGACATGCTGTTTTGGGGATCCATACCAGAGCAGTAAGGCAGTGTCCCCACCCGTCCCTCACCAACCAGGGTAAAGACCACAACACCTGCCCCCCCAGTGGAATGGAACATTCCAACTGAAGTCGATGAATGACCCCAGGCCAGGCAGCAGTTACTACAGGTTGGGTTGGGGCCTGCAAGATTGTTGTGCGTGAGGGGTAGGTGCATGTAGGTGGAAGTGTGTGTGCATGGAGGATACGTGTGCAGGTGCAAGGGTATGTGCATGGAGGGGTGCGTGTATAGGTGCGAGGATGTGTGGGGTGTGTAGGTGTGAGGGTGTGTGTAGGGGGTGTGTAGGTGTGAGTGTGTTATGCGTATAGGTGGTGTGTGCGTAGGTGTGAGGTTATGTGCCTGGAGGGGGTGTGCACAGGTGCAAGGTGTGTGCATGTAGGAGGCATGTGCGTAGGTGTGAGGGTGGGCGCATATAGGGGTGTGTATGTAGGTGCGAGGGTGTGTGTAGGTGAGGGGGTGTGTGCCTGTAGGGGGCGCGTGCGTGTATGGGTGTGTAGGTGCAAGGGGTGTGTGTAGGTGAGGGGGTGTGTGTAGGTAGGGGGTGTGTGCATGAGGGTGTGTGTAGGTGCAGGGGTGTGTGTGTGTAGGGGTATGCGTGTATACACTTACAGTCCTGCTCCTAGTGGATTCTGGTTCAAGCCTTAGCAAGGCGGAGCAGGCAGTGAGGGATATGGCACTGTCACCTGCAGTCTGCAGCCCGCAGCCAGCTCTGCCGGAGTATATGTAGCTTTGCAGCTTGTGTGTTCAGCCAAGGACCCTGAGAACTGGCTCCTGCTGTCTGATGGGAAGCGCCTGGAACGCCAGGACCACCCCTCTTGAAGCCTCAGCAGAAACTTCCAGGGCCCCAAATCCTGTGTCCAGTGGCCTGACTGCGGGCCATGCACTTCCCCCGGGGGCGAGGGTGGGGGCAAGGGGCTGACTTTCTCCCCAGCTCAGCTGAGGCCTGGCCACCATGCAGCGGCGTGCGTCTAGTGGGGCGACAACCCTGCCTTCCCTGCATTCCTGAGCTAGAAGCAGGCAAACTTCCCAAGTAGGAGACGGGGAAAATGGTCCTCCCTGGGCGACATGGACCAGAGTCAGTGGCAGGCAGCCCAGGAGGCCCTGGGAAGAGGGCAGGCAGGACTCGCAGGGGTCTATCCTAGCCGCCCAAAGACAGGGAACCTCCTCTCAGACAACTCTGGGTGCTGAGGGGAACCGGCTCTGGGCAAAGGCAGTAAGCCGGCCACCCGCTCCCTGGCCCTCGGGCGCCGCCCTCTTCCCCAGGCGGCCTGCCCCCAGGCCCTCCGGCAGCACCAAGGAGACGGAGCTCTCAGCCCGGGCCCCGCCAATGCCAGCCGGCACCCCCTCACTTCCTGCAGCCGCCTCACTGCAGGCACCCCCTCACTTCCCGCGGCCGCCTCACTTCCCGTACGCTCTTCACTTCCCGTACCCGCGCCCGGCAGGAGATAAGATGTGGAGGAAGTGAGCTCACGCAGCCCGGGCCGTGCCCACGTGGGGACGGAAAAAAAGCCCACGACTCGCTCAACCTTGTCCGCGGGGCTCCTCAGGCCGGGGCCGCGTCGTCACAGCTGGGAGAGCCCACCTGCGACCGAAGGCCCTAGAAGGGCACCCCCACCCGGCACTGGCCCTCTGAGCGGGCAGGGTGGGGCGCCTCCCTGAGAAGTCACCTGGGGCTCCCGGCAGGGCCGGGGCGCCGGCTCCGCTCACTCACCCGCAGGTGGCTCCAGCTTCCGGGCTCCGACTCCCTAGGGGCGCTCCCGGAGCCGGGAAGCCTTGGGGCGAGTGGGCGGGGCTCGGGCTCCAGCCACTCAGACTACCAGGGGCGGGGGCAGGAGGCCGACCCCAGCCACCCTTAAAGCTGCCGCCCCCTCTGAGCCCCAGTCCTGCTGGGCCGTCCGCCCAACCCGAGGGCCCCTTTAAGAGGAAGGGCCAAGGCCAGGGAGAAGGGGAAGGGCAGCAGACACCAGCTCTGCTTGGTCACTGTCACGGGAGGACCCCACTCAACCAGCAAGGTGGGCCCGGCTGCTCCCAAGGGATGCCTCCTGTCTGTCCTCAGTCTGTCCGCTGGTCTGTGAGCCGCCTGTCTGCAGCCCGTGGCTGGCCTCCCAAAGCAGCTGCCTCCCCTCCACCACCCGCGACCCAACACTAGGCAGACTCAGGACCCCACGTGCTGCTGACCTCACTGAGGACCAGCTTCTTCACTGGACTGAACAGAAAGCCACCCCTGCTAGCCCTAGGAAGCTCCAGAGAATGCGAAATCCTTGATCCTTCCCGCATCCCATCTTGAAGCTACAAGGCTGCTCCCACCCCAACCTTCTGCCCTCCAGGCACGCAAAACCCTGACAAACAGAATGCCCTGACTCCAAAACTGATGTAGACCAGCGAACAAGGGCAGCCAGAAACAAGGTCCGACCGCCCCAGCCTAGAGCACACAGGCCTCCCTGCTTCACTACTAGGATGCAGAGCCCATGGGATGGATGATGCATGCTGTCTTCCCACCCCGCTAGATCGGAGGGCCCTAGTCTGCGGCTTGGCAGTCCACCCCGTACCCACATGGTGCCAGGCATCCGACAAGCACTCAGCCCACATGGGATCAGACCAATCAGCTTAATGCTTTTAGGGGAGGGGAAGGGTCTGAGAGGGATCACCATTCAACCAAAGAAAAGGTGTGGCATTAAGTAGCCTTGTTCACATCTGTGGGAGCAACTGAGCACGCCCATTCCCTATTCAATGGTGAGTTGGCCCTAGAAGTCTCAGTCTCCTCATTCTGAGCCACTGAACAGGATACAATTCCAGCGGCTTCTCACCACTGAGATCTTTGTTTCTAAAGCAACTAAGGCATGAAGGCTCATGCCTGTGATCCTAGCACTTTGGGAGGCCAAGGTGGGAGGATCACTTAAGCTCAGGAGTTTGAGACCAGCCTGGACAACATAGTGAGACCTCTTTTTTTAAACCAAAAAGAAAGAAAGAATTAAGGTTTGGAACAGGAGGAGAGGGTCTGTAGGGCTTGCGGAGAAATGGTGTGGGGGCCACGCCTGGAATAGGACATAAGGGTGTACAGTCACAGCCCCATACACCTGTCGTCCTTACCTGGATCCAGCCCAAGCAAGTGCCACATGACAAGCCACAGCCCTGGGATGCGGCAGGGGGAAGAAGACAGATAGGGTCCTCCTCCATGGATTTCCATGTTCTTCCATACCTACAATGCACCCATGGGAACAGGGAGGCAGGGGTGAACAAGGCACAGTGCCACCCCTAAGGGCCTCAGCATGTGGTACAGGGGTGGCAGATACCTTATACAAAGCTGCTCCTAATATTCTCCTGTCCAGACATCACTACGGGAGGTCCTCAAATAGTGTCATCATAACACTGATGAGAAAAAAAATCTATTCCAGCCAGGGCTACTGTCTGTGTGGAGTGTGCACGTTCTCCCCATGTCTGCATGGGTGTTCTCTGAGTACCCTAGTTTCCTCCACATCCCAAAGCCATGCACATTAGGCTCACTGGTGTGTCTAAATGGTCCCAGTCTGAGTGAGTGTGGGTGTGGGTGCACCCTGCCATGGGAAGACATCCCATCCAGGACTGGTTTCCGCCTTGTGCCCTGAGCTGCCCATCGGATAGGGGACCACCTGCAACCCTGAAATGGAGTAATTAGGTAAATAATTATCTAACTTTTTATTAATCATTCATAAATGCATGTATAGCTCACATTTCAATGGTTAATATTAGAAATGTTTGGGGTCTTTAAAAGTTCGGTGATGTTTTTGTGGTCAGAAACATCCATAGGAACTTAATTCTTGCTTCTATCAATCAGCCTATGGTAAAACTGGTTTCATTCTATGTTTTGCTTAAAGGTGAAGATCCCAAGAACCTATCATCAAGATTGAGAACTTACTGTAACTGATCCCAGCATTCTCAGAGCCCCAAAGAAACTTCAGACCCCTTCTCACCTCAGAGGTCCAAGGAAACACATGACATGGGATAAAATGCAATTAAAGCACAGAAAGATGTTGACGCAGAATCCTGCCACCACCAACTTCCAGAACTGGAAAGACCCTGGAAGACCATCCTGGCCTCCTCAAAGCCTCTAGTACTTACAGACCAGCCCACACAGGTCCCTGGGGACGGAACAAAACCAAGCCCCAGTTAGACCAGGGGAGAAAGGTCTGTAGAGGAAAGACCAGCTTCTGCACACATTCTACCTCCCATGTGCTGAGAGATCTCTGGGATTCTCACACTCTTCCCTGTGGAATGGCCAGCTCGGCTGCACTGCATCCACTGGCATTGCTTTTTAGCCATTCTAAGCCTCTAAGGCAGATGGGTGTTTAAAAACCCGTAAACCACCAGGCGCGGTGGCTCATGCCTGTAATCCCAGCACTTTGGGAGGCCGAGGCAGGCGGATCACGAGGTCAGGAGATCGAGACCATCCTGGCTAACACGGTGAAACTCCATCTCTACTAAAAATACAAACAATTAGCCAGGCATGGTGGCGGGCGCCTGTAGTCCCAGCTACTCAGGAGGCTGAGGCAGGAGAATGGCGTGAACCCAGGAGGTGGAGGTTGCAGTGAGCCGAGATCGTACCATAGCACTCCAGCCTGGGCGACAGAGCGAGACTCGTCTCAAAAAACAAACAAACAAACAAACAAACAAACGAAACCCATAAACCAGCCCACAAGTTGGCCGAGATTAGCACTACCCCACCTTCCAACCAGACCTCCACCACACATATTTTCAGTGGGGAAATGCCTCTGGATTTTGAACAATCACTTACAAGTGAATTTCCATTAGGGAAAAAAAATTGTCTGGAAATTTACTTTCCTACCTTGTATTTATTTCCTTCAGGCCATGGAGTCCTTTATTTCCACGCCTCCCACTCTGTTAGGACTCCCTTGGGTGGGAGTGCCACCTAGTGCCACTGTGAGGCTCTGCAGGCTCTCAGGCCACCTGCAGATGGAGGCCTCCCTGCCTCAGTCAAGCCACCTGTATTCTCTGCCAGGTCCCAGCTGTGTGAATTTCATGCACTACTTCTAAGGGGATGCCCTGTGCCAGGGAACAGAAGGTAGCTGCGGAACAGGGGTAAAAGGTGTCCTCAGCTAATTCTCATTTCCTGGCTCTTGGCTAATTCTCATTCCCTGGGGGCTGGCAGAAGCCCCTCAAGGAAGATGGCTGGGGTCTTAACGGCTAGTACAAGAAACCACAGGCAGGCATCAGCCTCCCCAACGTCTGGGCAGAGAGGCCAGGCAAGCACAAAGTGCCTTCAGGCTATTTCTCTACACACCAGATTCTCCTATCCCTGCCCAACTCCCCACTCATCTTTGAGAATCGTTTTTGGCAGTCCCACTAGCCTGCAAGATGTCCCGGATACCCCTGGCACATTCAGAGCCCCACCAGCAGCTCCCCAAGGGCCCTGCCCAGGCACTCAGGAAGGGCAGACTGGGGTGGAATTCAGAAAAAGTGCTTTAGGCCAGACGTGGTGACTTAGTGTCTGTAATCCCAGCACTTTGGGAGGTCAAGGTGGGCAGATCACCTGAGGTGAGAAGTTCAACACCAGCCTGGCCAACATGGTGAAACCCCATCTTTACTAAACATACAAAAATTAGCCAGGTGTGGTGGTGCACGCCTGTAATCCCAGCTACTCGGGAGGCTGAGGTGGGAGAATCGCTTGAACCTAGGAAGCAGAGGTTGCAGTGAGCTGAGATTGCCACTGCATTCAGCCTGGGTGACAGAGCAAGACTCCATCTCAAAAAAAAAAAAAAAAAAAAATAGAAAAAGAAAAAGAAAAAGTGCTTTTAGGCCTGGCACGGTGACTCATGCCTGTAATCCCAACACTTTGGGAGGCTGAGGTGGGCGGATCACCTGAGGTCAAGAGTTCAAGACCAGCCTGGCCAACATGGTGAAACCCTGTCTCTACTAAAAATACAAAATTACTCAGGTGTGGTGGCACGCACGTGTAATCCCAGCTACTCAGGAGGCTGAGGCATGAGAATCGCTTGAACCTGGGAGGTGGAGGTTGCAATGAATTGAGATCGTGCCATTGCACTCCAGTCTGGGCAACAAGAGTAAAACTCCGTCTCAAAAAACAAAACAAAACAAAACAAAACTGCTTTTAGGTAGAGCCTCCTGGCAGACAGCTTCATGCAGGGCTGCAGGTATCTTGAGTCGGCCATCCCTCGATTCCTTCCAGCCCAGAAGTTTAGCCTTGTGTTTAAGTTCCATGTCTTTTTTTTGGAGACAGAGTCTGACTCTATCCCCCAGGCTGGAGTGCAGTGGAATGATCTTGGCTCACCACAACCTCTGCCTCCCGGGTTCAAGCAATTCTCATGCCTCAGCCTCCCAAGTAGCTGGGACTACAGGTACCTGCCACCACACTGGGCTAATTTTTGTATTTTTAGTAGAGATGGGGTTTCACCATGTTGGCCAGGCTCATCTCAAACTCCTGACCTCAGGTGATCTGCCTGCCTCCCAAAGTGCTGGGATTACGGGCGTCAGCCACCATGCCCCGCTGAGTTCCACATATTCTTGAGACACGGTCCCTCCGCTTGTCCACACACTGACCGCTCAAAGCCATTGGAGGTAGCTCCCAGGTGGGTCCTGGGCCACCTGGGGGCATGGCTGTATGAGCCACCGTTCCGCCCTCTGCGATCTCCTCCTGCCCTAGAGTGAGCCCACAATTCTCTGAGGTCAGAGCTGGCCCCTGCCAGCCAGTTCCAGTGGCATAAGAACACTACAGGAGTTCAGGTGGCACTGGGGCAGGCAGGAGGCTCTGCTTCCCTGCCAACTTGACTATTTGCCCATTTCCACACTCACACCTATTAGGTAAGAAGTAAAATAGTACTAAAGCTCCACTCCCTGCCAGCATGGGGCCAGGTATTTACATACACATCACTCTTATTTAACAACTTTATGAGGGCATGAATGGCCCTATTTATAGATGAGAATAATAAAGCTACAGCATGTACATCGCTCACCAACATGGAGAACACGTCCGATACTGCCCACTACCAGGTACACCGCGGCGCCAGGACGCGTGCTGAGCACAGGCCCATGGGGCTCCAGGAAGGGGACAGGGAGAGAAGGAGGACACAGGCCACTTCACAGGGTTCTGCCTTATGCTTAGGCTGAATGGTGGTAGACCAGACAGGCTGATCTGTCTTTATTCCTTTTGATGAATTGGAATACTGTACTATACATTTTTTTTTTATTCTAAACGGAGGCTAGAAACAAGGAAGCAGCGCTCAGACAGGAGTGAGCATACCTGCAAGCCCAGCTGAGTAAGGCCTTTCCTGCACTGCTGCTCCCCAAACACCTCAGCCCTTGCCACAAGCCCCCAGGGCCATGCCTCAAAACAATAAAACCACCTTCCGGGTTCAAGCGATTCTCCTGCCTCAGCCTCCCAAGTAGCTGGGATTACAGGCACCCGCCACCACGCCCAGCTAATTTCTGGGTTTTGTTTTTTTTTGTTTTTGAGATGGAGTCTCACTCTCTCTCCCAGTCTGGAGTGCAGTGGCACGATCTCGGCTCACTGCAAGCTCTGCCTCCCAGGTTCACACCATTCTCCTGCCTCAGCCTCCCAAGTAGCTGGGACTACAGGCGCCCGCCACCACGCCCGGCTAATTTTTTGTATTTTTTTTAGTAGAGACGGGGTTTCAACGTGTTAGCCAGGATGGTCTCGATCTCCTGACCTTGTGATCTGCCCACCTCAGCCTCCCAAAGTGCTGGGATTACAGGCATGAGCCACCACGCCCAGCCTAATTTTTGTATTTTTAGTAGAGACGGGGTTTCACCATGTTGGCCAGGCTGGTCTTGAACTCCTGACCTCGTGATCCACCCATCTCGGTCTCCCAAAGTGCTGGGATTACAGGTGTGAGCCACCGCGCCCAACCTTTTCCCTTTTTTTAAAAAGATTACATATTCGTTGGGCGCAGTAGCTCACGCCTATAATTTCAACACTTTGGGAGGCCAAGGCAGCTATATCACTTGAGCCCAGGAGGTTGAGACCTGCCTGGGCAACACGGCAAAACTCTACAAAAAAAAATAATAATAAATAAATTAAAAAAAAAAAAAAAAAAAAAATATATATATATATATATATATATATATATATATATATATATAGAAAAATTAGCCGGGCATGGTGGTGCACGCCAGTAATTCCAGCTACTCAGCAGGCTGAGGTGGGAGGATCGCTTGAGCCTGGGAGGTTGAGGCTGCAGTAAGCTGTGATCACACCGCTACACTCCAGCCTGGGCAACAGAGCAAGACTCTCTCAAAAAAGAAAAAGTTGTGTTTTTTGTTTGTTTTTGTTTTTTTTTAAAAGAGGTTACATATTTACCATTAAAAATCTCTCACTGGCCCTAAACTGGCAACAGTCATCTAACCCTGGTCTCACGCCACTCTGAACCGGACCCTCCTCTGTACTTCCTCCTGCACCAGCTCGCGGCAGCCACAGGGCTGTTCTGTTCAGACCTGAGAGACCCATTCAGGCACTCACGCTGGGACGTGCATGTCACTTTACTCCAGTGACTGAGGACCTGAGAACTCCTTCGTCCTCCATTTTCCAGAGCAAAGAAGAAACAGTGAAAGCTACAGAAAAGCATCTCTGCTTTTGTGAAAGCACAATTCTCTTCCCATGCTGACTCAGTCTGGGGAAGAGGTCAACTTTTGGATCCACTCTTCTGAAGAAGCAAGTGTCCCGCTCCCCTCACCCGGCACTGGCTATCTTGAATCAGTGAAGAGGAAAGCTCTTCACTCCCTAATGTCACGTCCTACACATTACAAGCTCTGACTGAAATTTCTCACTCAGAATGTTTGTAACCTAAACATTTAGACTGAGTGGCAAGGAAGGAGGATCCATGTGCTTCCAGAAATAAGGCTCGGCCCCAGACAGACCCAGAGGCCGCCCTGCCTTTGGCGTGGGAGCCGCAGGCTGAGCAAGTGCCTCCCCTCGGGCCAGGCCCTCTGTCCTCCAAACCACTGGGCCAGGAGAGCCTGGCCCTGCTCTGTGGCCACTCAGGCAGATGTATTTTGGCTGTGCCTGCCCTTGGCTGTGGGGCTGCTGCCAGGTGGTGGTAGCCCCAGGATGAAACCAGCCCTCCCCCAAGACCTAGATCCACGGGGCAGAGGCAACACAAAGGAACTCAGGACGCTGTGACCGGGCACAGCTCAGGCCCAAAGATGTGGGGCAGGTCCAGTCACAACAGCAGCCCCACGTCCCTTCTGGAGAGTCTGGACGGCCACCCCTGCTGTCAAGCCCCTGCCCCATGGGAAACTCACCTCCACTTGACCTAACTGCAAGCAAAAGTGTCCACCAAATGCCCTGGGTCTGTGGAGGGGCGAGGAAGGGGGGATGAAGGGGGATGAAGTGGGGAAGTGGGGAGAACAGGGAAGAGGGAGAAACGCTTGTTGGCCAAGAAGACCGGCAGAGAGGAAATGACACAGCTGCCCCAAGAGAGGCAAAACGGGTAGTAAGGACACCCGCAGGCCACTCCTCCCCTCAGAGATCTGCCCCCATCCTTCCCTAGCCTCTGCCACAAAAACCAGTTCTGTCTCTACTACTAGCTAATGGTTTTTTCTTTGTAGAGGCATGGTTTTGCTATGTTGCCCAGGCTGCTCTCAAACTCCTGGGCTCAAGAGATCTTCCTGCCTCAGCCTCTCAGGCAGCTGGGACCAGAGGCACACACCACCACCCCTGGCTGATTTTTCTTTTCTTTTCCATTTTTTTTTTCTTTCTTTTTTTTTTTTTTTGAGATAGAGTTTCGTTCTTATTGCCTAGGCTGGAGTGCAATGGCGCAGTTTCAGCTGAGGTGGGAGGATCACCTGAGCCTGGGAGGTCGAGGCCGTGGTGAGCCCTGCTCACACCACTGCACTCCAGACTGGATGACAGAGTGAGAGCCTGTCTTTTTTTTCCTTTTTTTCCCCCTGAGACAGCGTCTCGCTCTGTCACCAGGCTGGAGTGCAGTGGCATGATCTCAGCTCACTGCAACCTCCGCCTCCCAGGTTCAAGCGATTCTCCTGTCTCAGCCTCTCAGGTAACAGGGACCACAGGCACACACACCACCACCCCTGGCTAATTTTTCTTTTCCTTTTTCTTTTTTTTTTTTTTGAGACAGAGTTTCATTGACCAGGCTGGAGTGCAATGGCGCAGTCTCGGCTCACTGCAACCTCCGCCTGCTGGGTTCAAGTGATTCTCCTGTCTCAGCCTCCAAATTAGCTAGGATTACAGGCGCCCGCCACCACACCCAGCAAATGTTTTTGCATTTTTAGTAGAGACGGGGTTTCACCATGTTGGCCAGGCTGGCTAATTTTTTAATGTATTTTTTTGTAGAGACAGAGTCTTGCCTTGCCAGGCTGGTCATGAACTCCTGGGCTCAAGCAATCTTCCCACCTCAGCCTCCCAAAGTGTTGGGATCACAGGCATGAGCCACCATGCCTAGCTGAAAGTGTATATTTTCAATTAGATGTTTTGTAACCAAAAATTTGAGATATAATCTAAAACAGTATTTGTCAATTTCAGGAAAAGAGGAAACAGGCAATATGACATGATTGCTGAATGATTTTTTTTATGACTTTTGGGGACAAATAGGCAGCATATCTGAAATCACAACCGCCACACAAAGGCAGGACATATGACCACTGCAGCAGTATAAACTATGGATCCATAAACTACAGATCTGTACCTGGTAGCCACCCACCCTCTGTCTGTGCTCACTCACCGCGGCTCTGAGCACAGGCCTCTATGTCAACAGCCAAAGCCACAAGCCACACCTGTGGAACCCAAGTGAACACTCAGGCCAAGAACCAAGAATGTTCCCAGGACATCATGAGTTCCTGAAAAGAAACTCAGAGAAGCGGCTCTTCTACTTCTCAGCAGTCCCTGAGCTCCTGCCTTCAAGAGTGCCCTTGGTACCCTGCAGAAAATCACCTCTGCCCACTGATGGGCCACAGGTTGAATCAGGGACTCAAGGGAATAGCACTCTGGAAGCCAAAAAGCATTATTCAAGCTGCGCACACTCCACGCGACGGGGCTAAATGGAACTAAAAGGAACACTCTGGGTCTTCAACCTGAGCAGCTCAGCAAGCAGCTTTCCAGAACACGATTTCAAGCTACTTTTTTTTTTTTTTTTTGAGACAGAGTCTTGCTCTGTCACCCCGGCTGGAGTGCAGTGGCACAATCTCAACTCACTGCAACCTCTACCTCCTGGCTCAAGCAATCCTCCCACCTCAGCCTCCCAAGTAGCTGGGACCACAGGCCCATGCCACCACACCGGTTGATTTTTGTATTTTGAGCAGAGATGAGGTTTCACCACGTTGCGCGGATTGGTCTCAAACTCCTGAGCTCAAGTGATCCGCCACCTCAGTCTCCCAAAGTGCTGGGATTACAGGCATGAGCCACCACTCCAGGCCTCAAGCTACCCTTTCTAGAGACATCATTCTGTGAAATAAAAACTTAAAATAAAAACATCCTTTTTGTTTCGGTTTGGTTGTTTTTTTTTTTTTTTTTTTTTTTGAGACGGAGTCTCGCTCTGTCAACCAGGCTGGAGTACAATGGCACGATCTCGGCTCACTGCAACCTCTGCCTCCTGGGTTCAAGCAATTCTCCCACCTCAGCCTCCCGAGTAGCAGGGATTACAGGTGCCTGCCGCCACGCCTGGCTAATTTTTGTATTTTTAGTAGAGACAAGGTTTCACCATGTGGGCCAGGCTGGTCTTGAACTCCTGACCTCAGGTGATCCACCCGCCTCGGCCTCCCAAAGTGCTGGGATTACAGGCATGAGCCACCACACCCGGTGTTTTTTTTTTTTTTTTTTTTTTTTGAGATGGAGTTTCACTCTTGCTGCCCAGGCTGGAGTGCAATGGCGCAATCTCGGCTCACTGCAACCTCCACCTCCTGGGTTCAAGCGATTCTCCTGCCTCAGCCTCCCAAGTAGCTGGGATTACAAGTATGCACCACCACTCCCGGCTAATTTTTTGTATTTAGTAGAAGAGGGGTTCCACCATGTTGGTCGGGCTGGTCTTAACTCCTGACCTCAGGTGATCCACCCACCTCGACATCATGCTCAACTAACGGATAAAAGATTCACTCTTACCATAGATCTTATCAAAATCAGCATATGATTTTTTTTCTTTCCTTTTGAAGTCCAGAACTTTCACATTTTCACTTAAAGAAGGCACTTTACCACTTTCTCTTCGGCAATCCAAATTGCCAGAATTGCTATTATTGCACTTTGGGGCCAGTGTTAAGCCAAATAAGGGTGACCTGAACACAAGCACCAGAATACCACGACAGCTGATACGGTAACTGAGATGGCTACTAAGTGACTTATGGGCAGGCAGCATAGACACTGAGGTCACAATGGACAGAGGGAGGATTCATATCCTAGGTGGGAGAGAGAGAGTTCATTATGCTACTCAGAACAGGGAGACATTTGAAACTTAGGAATTGTGGCCAGGTGCGGTGGCTCACACCTGTAATCCCAGCTTTGGGAGGCTGAGGTGGGCAGATCACCTGAGGTCAAGAGTTCAAGAACAGCCTGGCCAACAATGGTGAAACCCGATCTCTACTAAAAACACACAAAAAAATTAGCCAGGTGTGGTGCCACAAGCCTGTAATCCCAGCTACTCGGGAGGCTGAGGCAGGAGAACTGCTTGAACCCGGGAGGCGCAGGTTGCAGTGAGCTGAGATCGCGCCACTGCACTCCAGCCTGGGCGACAGAGTGAGACGCCATCTCAAAAAATAATAATAATAATGATAAAATTTAAAAACTTAGGAATTATTTCTGGAAATTTACATTTAATATTTTCAGACTGCAGGAACATGAAACCTTGGATAAGGGGGAAACACTCCGATTGTTTTAGAAGCCAAATGCATGCCACAAACCATAAAGGTGTCCATACCCTTTCAGGCAGCAATCCTACACGTAGGCTTTCATCATGAGGAAAAGGCTTTATGTGCAAAGGTATGCTCTGCAACATTATTCATGGTGGCAAAGACCACCAGTATACCAGAATCAACTGAGGTGGTAAAGCCTCAGTGGCAACCAGAGACTTCAGGACCTGGGCGCCTGTCACCACTGAGGAAGAGCCAAGAGTGGCTCCAGGGTGGCTCACACCTGGAATCCCAGCACTTTGGGAGGCCAAGGTGGGAGGATCGCTTGAGACCAGCCTAGGCAACATAGTGAGACCCCATCTCTACAAAAAATAAAAAATTAGCTGAGTGTGGTGGTGGTGCATGCCTGTGCACCATGTCCCAGCTACTTGGGAGGCTGAGGTGAGAGGACTGCTTAAACTCGGAAGGTTAAGGCTACAGTGAGCTGTGACTGTGCCACTGCACTCCAGTCTGGGCAACACAGCAAGAGCCTGCCTCAAAAAAGAAAAACAAAAAACAAACAAACAGCTGAATCAATTTAAAAATACAGAAAAAAGGACAGGTGTGGTAGCTCACACCTGTAATCCCAGCACTTTGGGGGCCCAAGGCAGGTGGATCACAAGGTCAGGAAATTGAGAGCATCCTGGCCAACACGGTGAAACCCCATCTCTACTAAAAATACAAAAATTAGCTGGGCGTGGTGGTGCGCGCACCTGTAGTCCCGGCTGCTTGGGAGACTGAGGCAGGGGAATCACTTGAACCCGGGAGGCAGAGGTTGCAGTGAGCGAAGATCACGCCACTGGACTCCAGCCTGGGAGACAGAGCGAGACTCAGTTTCAAAAAAAAAAAAAAAGAAAGAAAAAAAGCCGGGCGTGGTGGCTCACACCTGTAATCCCAGCACTTTGGGAGGCTGAGGCGGGCGGATCACCTGAGGTCGGGAGTTCGAGACCAGCTTGACCAACATGGAGCATCCCCGTCTCTACTAAAAATACTAAATTAGCCAGGCGTGGTGGCACACACCTGTAATCCTACCTACTTGGGAGGCTGAAGCAGGAAAATTGCTTGAACCCGGGAGGCGGAAGTTGCAGTGAGCAGAGATTGTGCCACTGCACTCCAGCCTGGGCAACAAGAGCAAAATGCCATCTCAAAAAAAAAAAAAAAAGAAAATAGAGATAAAGACAGGAAGTGAATGCATAAAAAACAAAGCGCATGATTAAGCAATCACAGTCACATGGCAAGAAGGCGTGGGAATCATCATGTCCCCTGTTTTCCAACATTCTGTCATAGTGTTTGCTATATTCATCTCCGTCATTTAACAGGGAGTAAGACTGATTTCTACAAGCATGCCAAGACCATTCAATAGAGAAAGGATAATCTTTTCAACAAATGATGCTGGGAAAACTGGATACCCACATGCAAAATAATGACGTTGGATTCTTCTCTTATACCGTAAATAAAAATTAATTCAAAATGGATAAAAGACTTAAATATAAAACTACCCTGGCGAAGTGGCACATACCTACAGTCCACTACTGGGAAGGCTAAGGTGAAAGAAACATGTGAACCCAGGAGTTCAAGGCTGTAGCAAGATATGATCACACCACTACTCTCCAGCCTTAGCACAGCAAGACCCTGTCTCTGAAAAACAAAACAAAACAAAAACCTAAAACTGGCCCGGCACAGTGGCTCATGCCTGTAATTCTAGCACTTTGGGAGGCCAAGGTGGGTGAATCACTTGAGCTAAGGAGTTCAAAACCACCCTGGGCAACATGGTGAAACCCCATCTCTACAAAAAAATACAAAAATTAGTGGCTGTGCATGGTGGCTCATGCCTGTAATCCCAGCACTTTGGGAGGCCAAGGCAGGCAGATCACGAAGTCAGGAGATCGAGACTATCCTGGTTAACACGGTGAAACCCCGTCTCTACTAAAAATACAAAAAATTAGCCAGGCCTGGTGGCGGGCACTTGTAATCCCAGCTACTCAGGAGGCTGAGGCAGGAGAATGGCTTGAACCCAAGAGGCAGAGGTTGCAGTGAGCCGAGATTGCGCCACTGCACTCCAGCCTGGGTGACAGGGCGAGTCTCCGTCTCAAAAAAAAAAACAAAAACAAAAACAAAAAACTGTAGCCCTGAAGGGAACATTAGGTAGGGCTCATCTGCCTTTGGTTCTTCAAGCTGGCTTATCATCAGAATCACCTACAGGGCTCCTGGAAAACACAGATCTTGCACCTAGCCCAAACTTTGTAGATTTCTAGGAGTTAAGGAATTCAAATTCATAATTTTTTCTTTTTTTTTTTTTTGAGATGGAGTCTTCACTCTGTCACCCAGGCTGGAGTGCAGTGGCATGATCTCAGCTCACTGCAACCTCCACCTCCCGGGTTCACGCCATTCTCCTGCCTCAGCCTCCCAAGTAGCTGGGATTACAGGCGCCCGCCACCATGCCTGGCTAATTTTTTGTATTTTTAGTAGAGATGGGGTTTCACCATGTTAACCAGGATGGTCTCGATCTCCTGACCTCGTGATCCGCCCGCCTCGGCCTCCCAAAGTGCTGGGATTACAGGCATGAGCCACCACGCCCAGCCTCAAATTCATAATTTTTAAAGCTCCCCAACAATTCTGATATCAGCTACATTTGGAAAATCTCACATTTTTCATTTGTGATGACAGTGATTAGGTGGAACCAGAGGTGGGATTAGGACCAGGCCCCAGACAGCCATTCAACACTCTCCCTTCTTAACCTGTTGCCATTCCTGAAAACGTATATAGTTGAGTATCCCTAATCTGAACATCCAAAATCAGAGACTTTTTGAGTGCTGACATGACACCAACAAGTGGAAAATTCCACATCTGATGTCATGTGACAGGTCACAGTCAAAACTTTGTTTTGGCCGGGCATGGTGGCTCACGCCTGTAATCCTAGCACTTTCGGAGGCCGAGGCGGGTGGATCATGAGGTCACAAGTTCAAGACCAGCCTGGCCAAGAGGGTGAACCCCTGTCTCTACTAAAAATACAAAAATTAGCTGGCGCAGTAATAGGCACCTGTAATCCCAGCTACTTGGGAGGCTGAGGCAGGAGAATCGCTTGAACCCAAGGGTGGAGCTTGCAGTGAGCCGAGATCATGCCACTGCATTCCAGCCTGGGTGACAGAGTGAGACTCCGTCTCAAAAAAAAAAGAAAAAAACTTTGTTTCATGAAGAAAATTATTTAAAGTATTATATAAAGTTACCCGCAGGCTATGTGTAGAAGGTATATCTAAAACATAAATGAGACCCCTGTTTCCACAAAAATTCAAACAAATTAGCCAGGTAGGATGGTACACGCTTATATTCCCAGCTACTCCAGAAGGCTGAGGTGGGAGGATGGCTTGAGCCTAGGAGGTCAGGGATGCAGTGAGCCGTGATCATGCCACTGTACTCCAGCCCTAGGTGACAGAGCAAGGCCCTGCCTCAAATAAATAAATAAATTGGCCGGGCGCAGTGGCGCACACCTATAATCCACACACTTTGGGAGGCCGAGGTGGGCGGATCACCTGAGGTCAGGAGTTCGAGAGCAGCCTGGCCAACATGGTGAAACCCTGTCTCTTTTTTTTTTTTTAGTTTTAGTAGAGGCGGGGTTTCACCATGTTGGCCAGGCTTGTCTCGAACTCCTGACCTCAGGTGATCCACCCGCCTCAGCCTCCCAAAGTGCTGGGATTATAGACATGAGCCACCGCGCCCGGCCAGTGAAACCCTGTCTCTACAAAAATATAAAAATTAGCTGGGCATAACGGCAGGTGCCTGTAATCCCATCTACTGGGAAGGCTGAGGTGGGAGACGCTTGAACCGGGGAGGCGGAGGTTGCAGTGAGCCAAGATTGCGCCATTGCCTTCCAGCCTGGGCAACAGAGTGAGACTCCATCTAAAAAAAAAAAAAAAGAAAAGAAAAACAAAACAAATAAAATAAAATAAATAAATTTTGTGTTCAGACTTGGGTCACATCCCCAAGTTATCTCAGTATATATATATATACAAATATTGAAAAATCCAAAAAAAAATCCAAAACACTTCCAGTCCCAAGCATTTTGGATAAGGGATACTCAAACTCCAATGTCAACTCCAAGTCCAGACCATTTCCCCCTCATAAAATGAAGTGTTGGAGTCCCACTTGAAAATCCAGGAGTGGCCGGTACAGTGGCTCACACCTGTAATCCCAGCACTTTGGGAGGCTGAGGCAGGAGGGTCGCTTGAGCCCAGGAGTTTGAGACCAGCCTGGGCAACAGAGCAAGACCTCATATCTACAAAAAAAGAAAAAGAACATCAAGGAGTGGTTCTGTGACCATTTTATTCAATCAAGAAGAGTATCTAACTTAAGCCCAGTTCTTTACCAATAGGTGCTTTGAGATCTCACACTGCATTAGGCCACTGTACTCCAGTGTCCTGTCACTTTCCAGGCCCTGGGACTTATGAGTTAATCAACCCTGTCCTCTTTACAACCATCTTCCAGGTCTGAAACTATGTATGGCAATAACTCCAATTACATAAACAGCAGATACTAAAAAACTACTGGCGTTGGTCTTTTATGATTTTGGAAGTGGCAGGTTTCTTCCAAATTTATATTCTTTTGGGAAACCTTTGAAGTGTGTGGGAATTTCTTGAAAGCATGCAAGCTCATCACAGGGTGAGTCAGCCTCAAAAATCCCCAAGGTCAGAAAGATGTCAGCTTGGGTTTAACACTTGAGGGGGGTCATGCAGTCACAGTCACGTGCTACCTACACTTTACAAGTACTTTACTAATCTACTAATCTAATGGAAAATGATGTTTACAGGGGAAACCAGCAACGCCACAGGGAACAGAGGGCAGCATACTTTGAAAGTGTGACTCACCTACTACATAATTACCCTTCACCAAAAGGAATTTGTGATATAGTACCGGAAAACTTTTTTTTTTGTTTAAGGTAGGTTATTACAAAGCCCAAGGCGTACGAACAGGCCAAAGGGTAGGCACATGGACATACAGGGCAAGAGCAGACAGGTATCTCTTAGGGTAACTCCCATAGCTGGATCTGTATGGCCAGTTGACTAAGTCACGGTTTTACAGGACTGTTAGAAATCAAGTGAAGTCTGTATACTAGATTCTATTGGAAGAAAATGGTCAAAATTAAAGTCCAAAAAAGGATTTTGGAAGGAAACCTATAATGTAGCATGTAATGCCAATGGCAGCAAATACTCCTAGATAAACTGTTAGAGCTGGATGGAATCTCAGAGTCATGTTCGAACCCAACCTGCTGTTTTACTGTTAAAGACACAAGACCAGACAGAAAGTGACATGTCCCAGTTCACACAGCTACTGCGGAGCATGGTTGAGACTTGCCTTCAGCATCCTAATGCCCCAGTCACCGTATGTCCTATTAGAATAGATTCAGCTGATCTGGATTAGCAAAATGGAGTGGATCACCACTGCATTCCAGATATCACAAAGCCTCAACTGTCACCCCCTCTTTTGCCCAGAATATTAAGACCTATTACTGGTCCTTTGATATTTCAGATTTTTTATTTGTTAAATTATGGCTGCAAAAAAAAGGCAATTGTTAAACTTACACCTTTATATTCAGTTTCACAATTTACTGAATGTCTCCTCTAAGTCAGGAATCATCCTGGGACATGGGAAGCACAGATGAACAAGATGTTTCATTACGTATCGTGCATTCCGTAACAATGCAGGCTGCCCCTATCGTGTGACTATGATGGAAGGAAGCATTTTGAGCAATAATGACAAAGGAATTTGATTATTTCTGTCTGGTTCCTGGTGAGAACTAATCCACATCACAAAAGCTCAATAGTTTCAGCCCTCTTCTGACTAACAAGGGCAAGAATAGCAGAACAGCCAGGATGTCAGCACCAATTCAAGACATACACTCTGAGACTTCAACAGCAAGAAATTTCTACTCAGAACCCTTGGGGAGACCAGGGTAAGGTCTGGCAACAGAAGACAAGCTTGACTTGACACCAAAGTTATAACTCCTGTATCTGGCCAAAACCTACTGGAGACATGAGTTCCAAGAAAGCATATTTGACTTGTTCAAACATTTCAACTTTGGAACAACTGGAAAAGTGACAGACAAAGTTTGCTGGACGAGAACCCAAGGCAGTTCCACCTCATTCCTACCTCCCAGTGACCAGCAAGTTTGGGTGGAATCTCCAATCCCAGCTTCTCCAGCTCTCGCTCCCTGTACTTCTCATACTGCCGGTACCCTGCATACCCGCCGCCTGTCACCAACAGAATGGGCAGGGGACGCAGCAGGAACATGGTTCGGGCAGGGGCAGTGTGGATTTTTCTGGCATCTGTAATAAAAAACAGGACAATTTCAAGCCTGAGAGACAGGAATAGGGAAGAGTCATGCAAACACAGCACCAACAGGAGGGTCAGGAAAAGTCAGCGCACCTCAGAAGCCCTCAGTAGGGGACCAGGCACATGGCTCACGCCTGTAATCTCAGCACTTTGGGAGGCCGAGGCAGGCGGATCACGAGGTCAGGAGATCGAGACCACGGTGAAACCCCGTCTCTACTAAAAATACAAAAAGAAAACTTAGCCGGGCACAGTGGCGGGCGCCTGTAGTCCCAGCTACTCGGGAGGCTGAGGCAGAATGGCGTGAACCTGGGAGGCGGAGCTTGCAGTGAGCCGAGACTGCACCACTGCACTCCAGCCTAGGTAACAGAGCGAGACTCCATTTCAAAAAAAAAAAAAAAAGAAGCCCTCAGTAGAGGTGACTGGACCCTCAACATATCTAGCAGGCAGGTGCAACCTTGGGCCACTACTCAGACCCTCCTGTCTCCAAATTCTGTCAGTACGTACAGGACAGGCATCTTTCCTATAGAATTACAATGCACCTCAACTGCCACCGCAGTCACAAAATGTATTAATAGATGAAAACACTGAATCGCAAAGAGGTCAAGAAACTAATCAAGGTTGCCCAGGTGGTCACCAACAGGTCCAGAACTTGAAGCCAAACACCATTTCTCACCCAGGGCTCTTTGATCTTGCTTTTATAATGCAGGCCCAATTTTGATCAGGCACTGGTATTCTCTCTCAAATGCAAAATCTCATAAACTCTTACAGGTCAACAATAAAAAGACAAATAGCCAGGCACAGCGGCTTGCACCTATAGTCCCAGCTACTAGGTAGGCTGAGGTGGGAGGATTGCTTGAACCCAGGAGTTCAAGGTTACAGTGAGCTATGATCACGCCACTGCACTCCAGCCTGGGCAACAGAGTGAGACTCTCTCAATCAATCAATCAAAATGTGCAAAGGATTTGAATAGACCTTTGTCCAAAGGAAAAATACATTGGCCAATAAGCACAAGAAAAGACAGAGGCTAAATATCTGTTATGCGTTAAATTGCTGAAAACTCCCCCAAAACTCTTATGTTGAAGTTCTAACCCTGAGTACCTTAGAAGGTGCCCTTAGTTGGCTGGAGAGAGGGTCTTTACAGAGATTATCAAGTTAAAATGAGGTTGCAGGCTGGGCATGGTGGCTCAGGCCTGTAATCCCAGGACTTTGGGAGGCCGAGGCAGGCGGATCACGAGGTCAGGAGATCGGGACCATCCTGGCTAACACGGTGAAACCCCGTCTCTACTAAAAATACAAAAAATTAGCCAGGCATGGTGGTGGGTGCCTGTAGCCCCAGCTACTCGGGAGGCTGAGGCAGGAGAATGACATGAACCCAGGATGCGGAGCTTGCAGTGAGCCGAGATCCCACCACTGCACTCAGCCTGGGCGACAGAGCGAGACTCCATCTCAAAAAAATAAATAAGTAAATAAATAAATAAAATAAAATGAGGTTGCCAAGGTGTGTCCAAATCCAATATGATGGGTGTCCTTATAAAAAGGGAAAATCTAGAAACAGACATGCACACATGGAGAATACCAGGTGAAGCTGAAGGCAGAGATTGGAGTGATGCTTCTATATGTAAGGAATGCCAGAGATTGCCAGCAAAACATTGGAAGCTAGGCAAGAGGCATGGAACAGATTCTCCCTCACAGCCCTCCAAAGGAAGCAACCCTGACACCTTGATCTCAGACATTTAGCCCTAGAATCATGAGGCAAATGTCTGCTGTTCAAGCAACCCAGTTTGTGTTGCTTTGTTACAGCAGCCCTAGCAAACTAATACAACATTATTAGTAATCAGGGAAATGCAAATCAAAACCACAATGAGACCCCTTCACACCCATCGGAATGGCTATAATCAAAAAGACATAATGAGGCCGGGCACGGTGGCTCAGGCCTGTAATGCCAACACTTTGGGAGGCCAAGGTCGGCAGATCACTTGAGGCCAGGAGTTTGAGACCAGCCTGGGCATCATAGCAAAACTTCATCTCTACTAAAAATACACAAATTAGCCAGTATGCACACAGTCTTTGAAATATTAAAAAAACAACAAAAATTAACAATAAAAATTAGCCAGGCGTGGTGGTGCACATCTGTGTCCCAGCTACTTGGAGAATGAGAATTGCTTAAACCCAGGAGGTGGAGGTTTAGTAAGCCGAGATTGCATCATTGCATTCCAGCCTGGGCGACAGAGCAAGACTGTCTCAAAAAAAAAAAAAAAGAAAAAGAAAACCTAACGCTTCAGTGATAACTGCATGCCAGGTACTTTCCACATACTAACTCATTTAACTCTAACAACAACCCTATGTTTATCCCAATTTACAGATGACCAAACTGAGGCAGAGAGAGGGTCACCACCATCTCTAATTGCTCCTTACCTGTGCGAAAGGCTCTAAAAGGCAGCTTCCGTAAGGGCTGTAGGGATTGGCTCAGGGCAGTGATCTCACAGGGATGGAGGCTATAACCAAGCAAAAATGAACCATTAAATATTATTCTTAAAATTAAAATTACTGGATTAATCGGCAAAATTTAAACACTCAATAACAATATTGTAGCAATGTAAATGTCTTGGTTTTGACAACTGTACTGTAGATAAGAAAATGTCCTTGTAGGGGAAGGACTGAAATATTTATTTATTTATTAATTCATTCATTCATTCTTGAGACAGAGACTTGCTCTGTCACCCAGGCTAGAGTGCAGTGCCGCAATCTTGGCTCACTCCAACCTCTGCCTCCCGGGCTCAAGTGATTCTTCTGCCTCAGCCTCCCTAGTAGCTGGGATTACAGGCACCCGCCACCACACCTGGCTAACTTTAGTATTTTTAGTAGAGATGAGTTTTCACCATGTTGGCCAGGCTGGTCTCAAACTCCTGATCTCATGTGATCCACCAGCCTCAGCCTCCCAAAGTGCTGGGATTACAGGCATGAGCCACCAGGCCCAGCCTAGAAAAGGGCTTAAAAGCAAAAGGTCATCAAGTTGGCAAATTGCTCTCAAGTGTCTCAGGAAAAGAATGTATATGTATACACACACATATACATATAAACAGAGATGGAAGATGATAAAGCAAATAGGGCTGACATTTGAGGAATCTAGGTAAAAGGTATTTGGGAATTCTATGTACTATTTCTATAACTTTCTGTAAGCCTGAAACTATTTCCCAATAAAAAGGCTTTTTGGGTTTTTTTTGGGAGGCCGAGGCGGGCAGATCACCTGAGGTTGGGAGTTCGAGACCAGCCTGACCAACATGGAGAAACCCCATCTCTACTAAAAATACAAAATTAGCTGGGTGTGGTGGCACATGCCTGTAATCCCAGCTACTTGGGAGGCTGAGGCAGGAGAATCACTTGAACCCGGGAGGCAGAGGTTGAGATGAGCTGAGATCGTGACATTGCACTCCACCCTGGGCAACAAGAGCAAAACTCCGTCTCAAAAAAAAAGGAAAATACTATTCTGGTTCAGTTACTTTCTCTTCTTTGTTTCATCTTTGCCTGAAGAAATAAGACATATTCCCAGTGGCAATAAATGACTATGCCAGCAAGCAAAGCATTAATGAGTTTTTAGTTGAGTTTCCCCTTAATCAAAGAGGAAATATCTCACTTTCAGTTCAGATATCACTTCAGTTTCACCAAATACTGACCTGAAATCTAAAGTTAAAAAACTGTATCCGAGTCAATAAACATTTTTTTCCTTGGAACCCTTTATGATAGAATAATTCACTCTATTATAAATGTTTAAATTGATATTTTTGTGAAAAATAGAATTGCATTTATTACTTTCACACTATAATATTTACTTTCGTGGATATTTAGTTATGTCTTTTGTGTGTGTGTGTGTGTCTGTGACAGAGTCTCACTCTGTTACCCAGGCTGGAGCGGATTTTGGCTCACTGCAACCTCCACCTCCCGGGTTCAAGCGATTGTCATGCCTCAGCCTCCTGAGTACCTGGAATTACAGGCGCATGCCACTGCACCTGACTAATTTCGTATTTTTAGTAGAGACAGAGTTTCACCACGTTGGCCAGGCTGGCCTCAAACTCCTGACCTCAAGTGATCCACCTGCCTCGGCCCGCCAAAGTGCTGGGATTACAGATGTGAGCCACAGCACTTGGCCCAAGTTATGTCTTGTATAGATATCCTACAAATGTTATCAGATTTAGGTACTTTCCTTTTTTCACATAAAATTTCCTTGCCTTACAAACACCTGGCTGAGCACATGATGGCTCACGCCTGGAATCCCAGCACTTTGGGAGGCCGAGGTGGGTGGATCACTTGAGGTCAGGAGTTCGAGACCAGCCTGGCCAACATGGTGCAACCCCGTCTCTACTAAAAATACAAAAATTAGCCGGGCGCGGTGGCACACATGCTGTAGTACCAGCTACTCGGGAGGCTGAGGCAGGAGAATCACAAAACAAAACAAAACAAACACCCCCCTTGCCAGGCTGGGCATTGTGGTTCACAACTATAATCCTGGCACTGTGGGAGGCTGAGGTGGGAGGATTGCTTGAGCCCAGGAGTTCAAGACCAGCCTGGGCAACATGGTGAAACCCCATCTGTACAAAAAATACAAAAATTAGCCGGGCATGGTGGCATGTGCCTGTAGTCCTACCTAACCAAAAAGTTGAAGTGGGAGGATCGCCTGAACCCAGGAGGCAGAGGTTACAGTGAGCCGAAAACACGCTACTGTACTCCAGGCTGGGTGACAGAGTAGGACCCTACCTTAAAAAAAAAAAAAAAAAAAAACCACACCCACCTTGCAGCATAGCACTATTGTAGCTAACATGATGAATCTGATTCTCCTATAGGCAAACAAGGAGAAAAAGCATCTTACCATGACGAGCACCACCCCCAAGGCCAGACAGCTATTAACACAATGAAGGGTATATTTCAGTATATGAAAGTTCTTTCAGTTCTGAACAATGTTCATTTCTTAGACTGGATACTCCCACTGCCACAGCAAAAAGCCTAAAACCCTGCTTTCTAAACAGAATTTTAACGAGAAGTGCAAAAACGGACTGAAGGATAAATTGTTGTGTTCTGTACATTGCCGCATTGTGTTTTCCAGAATACTGAAAAACCCCTAACTGAAAGAATGTTTGCACAATGATTAACAAGGCTTTGTCTGACAGGAGGAAATAGGAATGGGAGATGATCATTTATGTATCCACCGTAACTGGACACAGGGCACTCAGGTGGTTTGTTTTGCATATCCATCTTCCCCCTCAGGAACCCTGCCCAAGAACAAACAGCTCAGCTTTTTGTCCACCGCTGTAGTCCCAGCTGCTGGAACAAATACTGGGAAATGCTTCATTATATCAGTTTGGTACATCAGATTTAGGTACTTCCCTTTTTTCACATAAAACTTCCTTGACTTATAAACACCTAGCTGAGCATGGTGGCTCATGACTGTAATTCCAGCACTTTGGGAGGCCAAGGCGGGTGGATCACTTGAGGTCAGGAGTTCGAGACCAGCCTGGCCAACATGGTGAAACCCCATTTCCACTAAAAATACAAAAATTAGCCAGGTGTGGTGGCACACACGCTGTAGTACCAGCTACTCAGGAGGCTGAGGCAGGAGAATCTTATTACGGGATCGTCCCGATTTTCATATGAATGCTGTCATTTCTTCAGTCTTACACAAACACTGTCTACCATGCTATCATTCTTTGGTCCTCCCTACTTTTCTGCTCTCCTTCATTCCAAGCCTAAAAAGAGCTCTCCACTCACTGTTACCACTTCCTCACCTCTCAGCCTCTCTTAGTCCCACTCAGTAAGGTTTTGTTCCTATCACACCACCTCATCAAGGTCACCAACAACCTGCATGTTGCCAACACCAATGCACACACATATCTGAGGTCTCATCTTACTTGACGTCTCAGCAGCATGACACAGTTGATCCTTCTCTCCTTGAAACACTCTTCACTGGGCTTTTGGGACCGTGATTTTTTTCCTATTTCTCTGGTTTCTTCTCAGTCTCTATTTGTGAATTCTCCTTTGCTTCCTAACTGTGGATTCTTGCCATGCCCAGGGTTCAGATCTCTTCTCTACCTATAAACTCTCCCCAGAGATGCTTATCCAGTCCCATGGCTTTAAAGAACCATCCACTGATGACTCCTTCATTGCTCCTCCAGGGGCCAGCTACCCAATGGCCCCATTTTGAGTCCTCTCAAACTGAGTCTGTAGAAGACAGGATTCCCGACCCTCTCTAACTCACCTTCAATCTGCTCCTGCCCGAGTTCTCTATCCATAGGAGAGACTAGCCAGATGTTTACCAAATGCACTTCCTCTTCTGGACACCTGTTAGACTAAATTTCCCAGCCTCCTGTGCAGCAAGGTGTGGCCATGAGACTAAGTGTGAACCAATGAAATCTGAGGATCATTCGGGCTTCCCAGGCATTCACCTCCAAGCTTACCCCCACCAGCCAGCTTGATGCAGACAAACATGCCGACTGTGGGAAGTATTAAAGATGGCAGGAAGGCCAGGCGTGGTGGCTCACACCTGTAATCCTAATACTTTGGGAGGCCAAGGTGGAGGAATTGCCTGAGCTCAGGAGTTTGAGACCAGCCTGGGCAACACGGTAAAACCCAGTAGCTACTAAAATCCAAAAAATTAGATGGGCGTGGTGGTGTGCCCCTGTAATCCCAGCTACTGGGGAGGCTGAGGCAGGAGAATTGCTTGAACCTGGGAGGCAGAGGTTGCAGTGAGCCGAGATCACGCCATTGCACTCCAGCCTGGGTAACAGAGCAAGACTCTATCTCCAAAAAAAAAAAAAAAAAAAAAAAAGACGGCAGGAGACTGGGTCCCTGAACATTGCTTGGAGAACAGCTGCCCTGCCAATCAGGAACACCCAATGCAGCTTTACAAGAGTGAGAAACTTCTACGGTGTTAAGCCACTGAGAATGCTGGAGTTTATCTGTTACAGTACCAACATTACTATAATTAACACAACAGGTCAAAAAAAGGTACCACCGTTCATCCAGCCACTCAGGTACAACCCCCTTTTTTTTTTTTTCCCAGAGATGGGGTCTCGCTTTGCTGCCCAGGCTCAAGTGCAGTGGCATGATCATAGCTCACCGCTGCCTCAAATTTCTGGGCTCAAGGCATCCTCTCACCTCAGCCTCCTGAGTAGCTAGGACTACAGGTGTGCACCAGCACACTTAGCTAATTTTTAAATATTTGTGGAGATAAATAAGGTCTTGCCATCTGGCCTAGGCTGGTCTCAAACTCCTGGATTCAAGTGATCCTCCCACCTCAGCCTCCCAAAGTTCTGGGATTACAGGCATGAGCCACTGCACCAGGCCAGGACTCGTTTTTGTTTTGTTTTGTTTTGTTTTTGAGATGCAGTCTCGCTCCGTCACCCAGGCTGGAGTTCAGTGGCGTGATCTCAACTCACTGCAACCTCCGCCTCCTGGGTTCAAGCAGTTCTTCTGCCTCAGCCTCCCAAGTAGCTGGGATTACAGGCACAAGCCACCACACCCAGCTAATTTTTGTGTTTTTTTAGTAGAGACAGGGTTTCGCCATGTTGGCCAGGCTGGGCTCGAACTCCTGACCTCAAGTGATCCACCCACCTTGGCCTCCGAAAGTGTTGGGATTACAGGCATGAGCCACTGCACCCAGCCCAGGACTCATTTTTAAGTCCTTTCTTTCTCATCATCCACATTCAATCCACTGGCAAGGCAATGAAAACTACCACTGGCCAGGCTCAGTGGCTCACGCCTGTAATCTCAGCACTTTGAGAGGCTGAGGCAGGTGGATCACCTGAGGTCGGGAGTTTGAGACCAGCCTCGCCAATATGGTAAAACCCCGTCTCCACTAAAAATACAAAAAACTAGCCAGCCAATATGGTGAAACCCCGTCTCTACTAAAAATACAAAAAATTAGACGGGTGTGATGGTGGTGGCCTATAATCCCAGCTACTTGGGAGACTGAGGCAGGAGAATTGCTTGAACCCAGGAGGTGGAGGTTGCAATGAGCCAAGATCACACCACTGCACTCCAGCCTGGGCATGACAGAGCGAGACTCTGTCTGAAAAAAACAAAAAAATAAAGGCCGGGCATGGTGGCTGACGCCTATGAGAACTCCCAGCACGTTGGAAGGCCAAGGTGGGCAGATCACGAGGTCAGGAGTTCGAGACCGGCCTGACCAACATGGTGAAACTCCATCTCTACTAAAAATACAAAAATTAGCCAGGTGTGGTGGTCGGTGCCTATAGTCCCAGCTACTCAGGACGCTGAGGCAGAAGAATTGCTTGAATCTGGGAGACGGAGGTTGCAGGGAGCCGAGATCGCACACTGCACTCCAGCCTGGGTGACAGAGCAAGACTGCGTCTCAAAAATAAATAAATAAATAAATAAATAAATAAATAAACAAAACAGAAAGACAAGATCCCACATCTTGTCAGCCTCTCAGATCTCTAGCTACTTTCCCTCTCTTCCTCCTCACTCACTCCTCTTGCCGCTCCTTGTCCACACCACATGTGCCCCTTTCCACACTCCTCCATTTGCTGTTTGCTATGCTGGGCACACCCCTCTCCTATGTGGCTCACTCCCACATCATTTAGTTCTCTGCTCAAATGTTACCTCCTCAGTGCAGTTTTTCCTGAGCACTGTATGCCCAAGAGTTGGCCCTCTTGAACACTAACTTCTTAATTTTTAAAAAAAATTTTTCTGGGTATGTAGTAGGCATATATATCTATGTGTTACATGAGCTAGTTTGATACAGGCACGCAATATGGAATAATCACATTAGGTAAATGGGATATCTATCCCCTCAAGCATTTAAGCTTTGTGTTACAAACAATCCAGTTATACTCTTTTAGTGTTTTGTTTTGTTTTTTTGAGATGGAGTTTTGCTCTGTCGCCCAGGCTGGAGTGCAGTGGCATGATCTCAGCTCACCGCAACCTCCGCCTCCTGGGTTCAAGCAATTCTCTGCCTCAGCCTCCCGAGTAGCTGGGATTACAGGCACCCACCACCATGCCTGGCTAATTTTTTGTATTTTTAGTAGAGATGGGGTTTCACCTTCTTGGCCAGACTGATCTTGAACTCCTGACCTCGTGATCCACCCGCCTCAGCCTCCCAAAGTGCTGGGATTACAGGCGTGAGCCACCGCACCCAGCCTTTTAGTTATTTTTAAATGTAATAATTTTAAATTATTTTTGACAATAGTCACCCTGTTGTGCTAGCAAACACTAGGTCTTATTCATTTTATTTTATATATTTTTTTGAGATGGCATCTTGCTCTGTTGCCCAGGCTGGAGTGCAATG
Source organism: Homo sapiens (assembly GCF_000001405.40). Taxonomy (NCBI): domain Eukaryota; kingdom Metazoa; phylum Chordata; class Mammalia; order Primates; family Hominidae; genus Homo; species Homo sapiens. The sequence continues at coordinate 31,657,582 of NC_000022.11, forward strand.
GCGCAATCTCAGCTCACTGCAACCTCTGACTCCCAGGTTCAAGGAATTCTCCTACCTCAGCCTCCTGAGTAGCTGGGATTACAGGAGCACACCACCACACCCGGCTAATTTTTTTTTGTAGTTTTAGTAGTGACAGGGTTTGTTGGCCACGCTGGTGTTGAACTCCTGACCTCAGGTGATCCACCCGCCTGGGCCTCCAAAGTGCTGGGATTACAGGCGTGAGCCACTGCACCCAGCCCATTTTATTTTTTTGATACCCATTAACCATCCCCATTTCTTCCCATCCCCCCACTACCCTTTCCAGCTTCTGGTAACCATCCTTCTACTATCTCCATGAGTTCAACCGTTTTAATTTACAGCTCCCACAAATAAGTGAGAACATGCAAAGTTTGTCTTTCTGTTGAGCACTAACTTCTTAATTATCTTGCTTTCTTTTTCTTCATGGCATTTCTTATTACACAAAATGAATGGATTCTGCATGTATTCAGTTATTTGTTTACTGTATGTATACCTCGATGAACACGGGGTTTATCTGTGTTCTCACTGGCCTTCAATCTCAATAGTGACAGTATGCCCCAGAAAGATGAATGGATGGGTTCAAACAGATGTCTCTTCTACATGCATTCTACATCGCATCCTTCAAGTAGGCAATTAAAGCCCACAATTGAGCACTCCAGTCTGCCTGTGCAACTCAAATCTCAGCGCTGCCACTTCTTAGCAGCTGTGTGACCTTAGGAAATTTCTTAACTAATCTTAAGCCTCAGTTTCTCCACCTGCAAAAACAAAACTCACCTCATTAGAAGACAATCATGCAAAACCTTAGCTCAGGGCCTGGCACCTAGTTAGACTGTTATTATTAAGAGTTGATATTCAGCTGACATACACTGAGATGGTCATATCAATCATCTATGACCAGCATTCACTCTCACTAGTCTGTCTCCATGGCATCCTGGTTATAAGTTTGTTTGTTTGTTTGTTTGTTTTTTGAGACAGGGTCTCACTCTGTCACCCAGGCTGGAATGCAGTGGTGAAATCACAGCTCACTGCAGCCTCGACCTCCTGGGCACAAGTGAACCTCCCACCTTAGCTTCCCAAGTAGCTGGGACCACAGATGTGCACCCAGCCATTTTTTGCGGAGAGGAGGTCTCACTATGTTGCTCAGGTTGGTCTCGAACTCTTGGGCTCAAGCAATTCTCCTGCCTCAGCCTCCCAAAGTGTTGAGATTACAGACATAAGCCACCACACCTGGCCAGTTGCACTATTTTTTCTTTTTCTTTTTTTTTTTTTTTTGAGACAGGGTCTCACTCTGTTGCCCAGGCTGGAGTGCAGTGGCATGATCTTGGCTCACTGCAGCCTCAACCTCCTGGGCTCAGGCAATCCTCCTACCTCAGCCTCCCAGGTGGCTGGGACTACATGTATGCACCACTATGACCAGCTAATTTTTGTGTTTTTTGTACAGATGGGTTTTTGCCATGTTGCCCAGGCTGGTCTTGAACTCCTGAGCTCATGCAATCCACCCGCCTTAGCCTCCCAAAATGCTGGGATTACAGGCATGAGACACCACGCCCAGGCCTAAGACATTTTTAACATCACCCCTAGTAGTAACATTTTGCCTATAGTCCTTATGTCTCCCTTGCTTTCTAAAGCTGTGAAAGTTCTCCTAAAACAGAACGGACAGACCTCTTGAAGGCTTTATCCCGTATTCCACCATGTATTACAAGTATATAGTAAAGTTCCTTGAAGACAAGGCCTATTTCAAATGTTTTTAATTTCTTCATTTGCTCCCCTTCCCTTCTCTCTTCTCCCTTCTCTATGGTCCGTTGACAGTGTGGTTTGCAGTGGTAGGGATGCCATAAATATTTCTGATGGAAGTCATGCACGAGAAGCTACTTCCTAGGTACTATTGTCCGTACTTGCCTGAACCTAAGAATCACCTGTAAAAACTACAGTTGCCAGAGCCCCAACTTATATCTACTGAATCTGAAATTGGCAGTAGGATGGGGGCATATCTGGAATCTTTTTTTTTTTGAGACGGAGTCTTGCTCTGTTGCCGAAGCTGGAGTCCAGTGGCGTGATCTCGGCTCACTGCAACTTCCGCCTCCCGGGTTCAGGAGATTCTCCTGCCTCAACCTCCTGAGTAGTTGGGACTACAGACACACGCCACCACACCCGGCTAATTTTTGTTAGAGACGGGGTTTCAGCATGTTGGCCAGGCTGGTCTCGATCTCCTGACCTCATGATCCACCCACCTTGGCCTCCCAAAGTGCTGGGATTACAGGCATGCGCCACCGTGCCCGGCTTTGTTTTTTTTAATCAGCCAGCCTCCCAAACTACAGCAGGCTCAGAGAGACTCCCAAGGAATCTCTATTTCTAACAAGCATCCCAGCCCATTCAGCCCATTCTTTTATCAAATGAGTTTAGGAAACATGGCCCTAAATTATCACCCAAGATGTTATCTATCACCTGTCACACATCACCCAGTTATTGAAAAACTTACCTGAAATATAAGGTTTTCATTTACATGTCTCACAAATAGGCACTGGTTTACTAAAAACCCACAGAAATGTTATCTTTTTGGTTTGTGTATTAATATCATTTCTATCTTGATATAGAATACCTTTGAAAATTAAGGTTTCTTATTGTACCCAAATCTTCATCTCTCTCACCCACTGCATCTAAGTCTAGCCTTATCTATCTACACTGGTACTAAAACATAGCTTTTTTTCTTTCCCTTTTAATGATGGTGACTGAGGTACAGCCTCCTCTCATCATTTAAAAAAATTATTTTAGGTGGACTGCGATGGCTCACTTCTGTAATGCCAGCACTTAGAGAGGTGAAAGTGGGTGGATCACTTGAGCCCAGGAGTTCAACACCAGCCTGGGCAACATGGTGAAACCCTGTCTCCACCCCCACCCCCAAAAAAAATGCAGCTGGGCGGGGTGGCGTGCACCTGTGGTCCTAGCTACTCAGGAGGCTGAGGTGGAAGAACTGCTTGAGACCAGGAGGTGGAGGCTGCAGTGAGCCATCATCACACCACTGCACTCCCTCTTGGGCAACAGAGTGAGGCTCTGACTTCCAAAACAAATAACAACAACAAAAAACAATTTTTTAAGAGTCTCATTTTAGTCCTTTCAATTCGTGACACACTTTATTTATTTTTAATTTTTTTGAGACAGAGTCTCACTCTGTCGCCCAGGCTGGACTCCAGCGGCGCAGTCTTGGCTTATTGCAACCTCCGCCTCCCAGGTTCAAGCAATTCTCCTGCCTCAGCCTCCCAAGTAGCTGGGATTACAGGTGCCTGCCACCATGCCCGGCTAATTTTTGTATTTTTTAGTAGAGACAGGGTTTCACCACATTGGCCAGGCTGGTCTCGAACTCCTGACCTCAAGTGATCCACCCACCTTGGCCTACCAAAGTGCTGAGGTTACAGGCGTGAGCCACCGCGCCCAGCCTGTGACACACTTTAAATGAATTCAGGGTTGACTCATACACAGCACGCCTGGTAATAACATTGAAAACAAAGTCTCCTGCCCAAATTCTAACAGTTACCACCACAATGCAGAGCCCTCTCCTGAGAGATAATCATTTCTGTACAGTTAATGATGAAAGAGTGACGCTTTCATAACAAGACCAATGATGGTTTCTGTTCCCTCTCAGTCCAAATCCAGTGTCCGTCTCCTCCCAAAACAATAGGTTATCCTCTGATCAACGCTGACAAAATGAACCCTGTAGGAAACACACAAGTATGGCGCATCTCTCAAATCTTAGCTCTTTGAAATGACACCAGGCAGCCGACTCTGAATCACAGCTACATTTTAATCCATTTTCCGACACTCCAAATGCTCTAAGCTATTTTCTGTATAACCACTGCCCTCACGGCGGGCAGCCTGAGAGAAAGATCGTCGCGTGAGGGGGTACCTTGATGGGGGTCCGGGCTCTGCTACAAACTGGCTAGGTGAACTTGAGCAAATCCCTCCCTCTCTCGGAGCCTCAATCTCATTAACTCCAAAGAGAGACAGCTGGACTCAGAAGACCCCTCAAGTCTCCCACATTTCTAAGAATCTAACAGCTGGGGGTCACAAGGGTAACCAAGACTCTAGCCCCATAACATATTGTTTTGAGATTACCTAACCTAACCCTCTAGCTTCAAAGACTAAGATCCAGAAATGAAAGTTGCCTGACACTCAATCTAGTGTCCTTCCCACAGGACATCATTCCTTCTACGAAAACGAACACACGAGAAAATGGCATCTGAACATCTGAAAGCCCTGCCTCGACTCAAGAGACGGGCAGGTAGCCTATTTCATCTGATTTTTGTCCCTCGTGAACTTCCACCTAGCTGGAAAGGGCAAAGCGCGAGCTTCTAGGCCACACCCTAAGTAAATCCGGACCGCCCTACGCAGGAGCAGTCGCACCTGCTCCTAAGCTCGAGGTGAAGGTGGCTCCGTCTCCACCCGAGCTCGCCTCAGAGCGAGCCCGCGACACAGAAACATCTCTCTTCAGACCCCAGCTTGGTCCAGGTTGCCCCACGCCCCAAGGTAGTCTCTCCGCGCTGCTATACCTGCTCCGCCACGGCGCGACCCCGTGCAGTAATCCCAGACATCGGTGCCCCACGGACGTCGCCATCTTGTCTGCTCCTTCTCAGCGTGCCACGCCCCCTTCACACGCTGGGCGCACGCTTAAGGCGTCACGAGTCTCGAGTTCAGTGGGCCAATGAGAAAAGCGCGGGTTGGGGGCGGAGCCGACTAAGCTCCGCCCTGTGGCTACTCCCCACCTAACCCGCTTGGCACCTGCGGAGGTAGGGGAACTAGTGGAGCTGTAGGTTTCGCTAAACCTGGGCTTGGTCGCAGCACTGCCACTCCTCCTCCTTCCCTCTGGGTGCCTTTCCTCATGTACCTGGAAAATCTGAGTCATCCAAGATCCAAGAATGTCGTTTCAAGTGATCGAACTTGCTCATTTTACGGATGGGGAAACTGGGCATCCATGACTCAGCTCTCGTTTTTTAAGCGCCGGAGTGTGTTGTGAGCACTTTGCAAGCATGGTGTCATATCATTCTTATCTCCTACCGCTGTGCTGCCAGGGAGACCGGGGGCAAACGGTCTTGGATCACCTAGAAATGCAACCAGTCGTTAAATTCGGTGCCTGGTGCTTGCTCTTGAAAAGGTTCCTATCTTCAATTGTAAGAGGAAAACGAGTTTTCAATCATGTCTGCTACTTTTTACTGAGCACTGACTAGAGACTCGCAGCTAGGCCCGAGACATTATCCCCATTTTAAAGATGAGGTACCTGAGGCTCAGGAAGGTTAAGCAACATCTTCAAGGGTACATAAAGGGCATATGCCCAAAGACTATAAAATAGTGAAGCCAGAATTTGAACATACGTCTCTGACTCCAAAAACCATGTCCTAAACATCTTCTTCTTTTTTTTTTTTTTTTGAGACAGAGTCTCTCATTGTCGCCCAGGCTGGAGTGCAGTGGCGCGATCTCGATTCACTGCAAGCTCCGCCTCCCGGGTTGACGCCATTCTCCTGCCTCAGCCTCCCGAGTAGCTGGGACTACAGGCGCCCGCCACAACGCCCGGCTAATTTTTTTATATATATTTTTCGTAGAGACGGGGTTTCACCATGTTAGCCAGGATGGTCTCGATCTCCTGACCTCGTGATCCGCCCGCCTCGGCTTCTCAAAATGCTGGGATTACAAGCGTGAGCCACCGCACCTGGCCTAAACATTCTTCCTTTTAAGCCCTTTGTCAGAATCTGGCAGAATTTGGGTCCAACAACTGAAGGAATGCAGCCCTACTTTTTCATCTGCTAAGCTGATAATCACAGTTGCCTTCACCAGGCATTTGACAGGAGGAGGAATATGCTCCCTGGTCCCTGCAGGTATTTCTGTGTAGTTGGCTTAAGTTCAACTAGGGCATACTCAGCTCCTACAGAGAGCTTAAAAGGCACCAGGTTTGGTATTGGGGGGAAGAAACCTCCCTTTGTCATGGTTTTCAAAAGTCGGAAAAGAAAAAAACAAATGTATAGAATTGGTTTTGGCCGGGCGCAGTGGCTCACGCCTGCAATCCCCACTCACTGGGAGGCTGAGGTGGGAGGATAGCTTGAGCCAAGGAGTTGAGACCAGCCTGGGCCGGGCGCGGTGGCTCACGCCTGTAATCTCAGCACTTTGGGAGGCCGAGGTGGGCGGATCACGAGGTCAAGAGATTGAGACCATCCTGGCTAACACGATGAAACCCCATCTCTACTAAAAATACAAAAAAAATTAGCCGGGCGTGGTGGCGGGCGCCTGTAGTCCCAGCTACTCTGGAGGCTGAGGCAGGAGGATGGCGTGAACCCGGGAGGCGGACTTGCAGCGAGCCGAGATCGCGCCATTGCACTCCAGCCTGGGTGACAGAGTGAGACTCCGTCTCAAAAAAAAAAAAAAAAAAAAAAAGGAAGTAAAAAAGAGACCAGCCTGGACAACATAGTGAGACTCCATCTCTTTTTTTTTTTTTTTAAGAGGCTGGGCACCGTGGCTCACCCTATGATCCCAGCACTTTGGGAGGCCAAGGCGGGCGGATCACCTGAGGTCAGGAGTTCGAGACCAGCCTGGCCAACATGGTGAAACCCCATCTCTATTAAAAATACAAAAATTAGCTGGGCATAGTGGCGCCTGCCTGTAATCCCAGCTACTCCAGAGGCTGAGGTACGAGAATTGCTTGAACCCGGGAGGGGGAGGTTGCAGTGAGCTGAGATAATGCCATTGCACTCCAGCCTGGGAGACAGAGTGAGACACCATTTAAAAAAAAAATACATATTGGTTTAATTGGTTTTACTATCCAATTGAGAGTAGTAAACCAGCAGGGAATGGGGGGAAATTATTTCCAAATGAAGTGCATTGGGAAAACTGAATATCCATATACAAAAAGTAAAGTGCAGCCTTACACCATATACAAAAATTCATTCAAAATGGATCAGAGATGTAAACTGAAGAGCTAAAACTATAATACTCTTAGACGAAAACATAGGGGAAATCTTCATGACGTTGGATTTAGCAATGATTTCTTGTATATGACGTTAAAAGCACAGGCAACAACAACAAAAACAACAAAAAGATATACTTCGAAATTAAAACTTTTGTGCATCAAAGAACACTATCAAGAGAGTGAAAAGACGCTGGGCGCGGTGTCTCACGCCTGTAACCCCAGCACTTTGGGAGGCCAAGGCGGGCAGATCACCTGAGATCAGGAGTTGGAGACTAGCCTGGCCAACGTGGTGAAACCCTGTCTGTAGTAAAAATACAAAAATTAGCCGCATGTGGTGGCGCAAGCCTGTAATCCCATCTACTCGGGAGGCTGAGGCAAGAGAATCACTTGAATATGGGAGGTGGAGGTTGTGGTGAGCCGAGATCGTACCATTGCACTCCAGCCTGGGCAACAAGAGTGAAACTCTGCCTTAAAAAAAAGAGAGAGAGAGAGAAAAGGCAACCCACAGAATGAAAGAAAATGTTTGCAAATCATGTATTATCTGATAAGGATATTTGCTCATTACTGTCATGTAGATGGGTGGGGAAGAACCTATTTTTCCAAGCTTACAGGAAAATAAATAAATAAATGGCTCACTGAATGCTTTTAGAATAAAAGTCTCCAACTTTATTTTTTGAGACAGAGCCTCACTCTGTTGCCCAGGTTGGAGTGCAGAGATGCGATCTCGGCTCACTGCAGCCTCCACCTCCCGGGTTCAAGCGATTCTCCTGCCTCAGCCTTCCGAGTAGCTGGGACTACAGGCGTGCCACACACCCAGCTAATTTTCGAATTTTTAGTAGAAACGGGTTTTCATCATGTTAGCCGGACTGGTCTCAAATTGCTGACCTCAAGTCTGCCCGCCTCGGCCTCCCAAAGTGCCAGGATTACAGGCGTGAGCCACCGCGCCGGGCCTGACAGTCTCAAACTTTAAAGCACGCTTCCTGCCCACCAAGGCTTGCGCTCGCTGTGCCTCCTTCAGTAGGAAACAGCATTAACTTCCGTAAGATCCTGTCTTTTGAGACCCCGTCTCAAAAAAAAACAACAACAAACCGACTTAAGCACTCGAATCTTCGGCAGCTTATCTATACATTTGGATATCACTTAACCTCATGGAATTGTGAGGACAAAATAATGCAGCGTAAGTTCAAGGCACCTGGTAGGTGCGAATTACTCAACAACTGGGGGCATTAATTTCTGAGATTTCTCTGTGGCCGCTAGGGGGCAGAATTAGCCTAGCATTTAAGAACGAGCTTGCTTGGCTGGGCGCGGTGGCTCACGCCTGTAATCCCAGCACTTTGGGAGGCGGAGACGTGCGCATCACGAGGGCAGGAGATCGAGACCATCCTGGCTAACACGGTGAAACCCCGTCTCTACTAAAAATACAAAAAAATTAGCCGGACGTGGTGGCGGGCGTCTGTAGTCCCAGCTACTCTGGAGGCTGAGGCAGGAGAATGGCGTAAACCCGGAAGGCAGAGCTTGCAGTGAGCTGAGATAGCGCCACTGCACTCCAGCCTGGGCGACAGAGCGAGACTCCGTCTCAAGAAAAAAAAAAAAAACGAGCTTGCCTCAATTTTGTTTTCAAAGGATTTTTGCAGTGTGGATGGTAGTGGCAGAGCTTCGAGGCTTTCGTGAGCCCCAAGCACTTTTGCCTCAGTGGACTGACCCTTTTCTCCATAAAAAATTAAGAATTTTATTTTACAACCGTATTGGTATAAAGACTATTGTCTTTATATTAACACATTTATATTTATAAATCCAAGCTGAATTCATTATTATTATATTCTTTTCCTTTTTTTCCTTTGAGACAGAGTTTCACTCTGTGGCCCAGGCTGGAGTGCAGTGGCCCGCGATATCGGCTCACTGCAATCTCCGCCTACCGGGTTCAAACGATTCTCTTGCCTCAGCCTCTCCAGTGCCTTCAATTACAAGCACTGGCCACCACGCCTGGCTAAATTTTGTATTTTTGTTTAGAGAGACAGGGTTTCGTCATGTTGGCCAGGCTGATCCCAAATTCGGGGGCTCAAGTGATCCTCCTGCCTCGGCCTCCCGAAGTGTTGGGATTACAGGCATGAGCCATCGCACCCAGCCTCATTTTTTAATTTTAATATTAAAAATTTTGTTGTGGGTCCTTAGCACTTTTTTTCTTTTTCTTTTTCTTTTTTTTTTTTTTTTTTTTTGAGACAGGATATTGCTCTGACACCCAGGCTAGAGTGCAGTGGCACAATCATGGCTCACTGCAACCTGGACCTCCCAGGCTCAAGCAATCCTCCCACCTCAGCCTCCCGAGTAGCTGGGATTACGGGTGCACACCACCACACTCAGCTTATTTTGTATTTTTTATAGAGATGAGGGTCTCACTATGTTACCCAGGCTGGTCTCCAACTCTTAGGCTCAAGTAATCCTCTTACCTCGACCTCCCAAAAAGTTGGGATTACAAGTGTGAGCCATGGCTCCCAGCCAGCACTTTTCCTATTGTCTTAGTCCATTTCTTAATCTGTTAAAATTGGGAAACATTGGTAACTACCTGATAGGCACAACAAGGTTTTATTTTGAGATGATAAAATTTGTCCTGAATTAGACAGAAATGGTACACCACGTTGTGAATGTACTAAATGTCACTGAATTGTCCACTTTAAAATGGTTGATTTTAGGCTGGGCACAGTGGCTCACACCTGTAATCCCAACACTTTGGAAGGCCAAGGTGGGTGGATCACCTGAGGTCAGGAGTTCAAGACCAGCCAGGCCAACATGGTGAAACCCTGTCTCTACTTTTTAGTAGAGACAAAATTAGCTGGTCGGGCTGGGCTCGGTGGCTCACACCTGTAATCCCAGCATTTTGAGAGGCCAAGGAGGGCGGATCATGAGGTCAGGAGTTCGAGATTGCCTGGCCAATATGGTAAAACCCTGTCTCTAGTAAAAATACAAAAATTAGCTGGGTGTGGTGGTGCATGCCTGTACTCCCAGCTACTCAGGAGGCTGAGGCAAGAGAATCGCTTGAACCTGGGAGGCGGAGGTTGCAGTGAGCCGAGTAACTGTAATATCAGCTACTCAAGAGGCTGAGGCAAGAGAATCGCTTGAACCTGGGAGGCAGAGGTTGCAGTGAGCCGAGTAACTGTAATACCAGTTACTCAGGTGGCTGAGGCCGTAGAATCACTTGAACCCAGAAGGCGGAGGTTGCAGTGAGCTGAGATTGCGCCACTGCTCTCCAGCCTGGGTGACAGAGCAAGACTCCATCTCCAAAAAAAAAAAAAAAAAAAGGAAGATGACAAGCATTGGAGAGGATGTGGGAAAAACTGGAATCCTTGTACATTGCTGATGAGAATGTAAAATGGTGCAGCCACTGTGGAAACCAGTTTACCTTGTTCCATCTCAAGCTAGTAATCCCAGCTCTCTGGGAGGCTCAGGCAGGAGGATCACTTGAGCCAAGGAGTTTGAGAAAATGGTGAAACTCCATCTCTACAACAAATAGAAAAATTAGCCCAGCATCATGGTGCATACCTGTAGTCCCAGTTACTTGGGAGGCTGAGGTGGGAGGATCACCCGAGCTCAGGAAATCGAGGCTGCAGTGAGCCACGATCATGCCACTGCACTCCAGCCTGGGTGATGCACCCAATTTATAGTGTTATAATGAGGGTTTGCAACATTATTTGTGTGCAGCACACAGGAAGTGCTTGATAAGTGGAAGCTGCTAGCTTTGTTATTATCACTGTTTAATTTTAGGGCTGCTGCCTCTCAACCTTGCCCATGCTCTGACACTTCTAGTCAGAAGCATTTGCTTAATCCATCCATTCATTTATTTATTCATTGATTTAATAAGTGTGTATTTATGGGAGTCTGCTCTAGGTATGACCGTGGGCATCCATGCCTTTATGAAGCTTATATTCTGGTGAGTACAGACATCAGGGAGGAGTCCTCCTTCGAAATCTGCGTTTTTAGAATTCAAGCTCCACACCCCGCCCCCCAACAAGAAAATCTCATTTGTTCTATTGCATGATGTTTGTTACATAGGGATAATTATTATCGAAAACTGTAAGGTACCGTGTAGTTATAAAAAAGCCAATTATTGCAATGCGTGGTGACACGCCCACAGGATCCTAGCTACTTGAGAGGCTGAGGCAGGAAGATCACTTGAGCCCAGGAATTTGAGGCTGCAGTGAGCTATGATTGCACCACTGCCACCCTAGTCTGAGCAGCAGAGCAAGACCATGTCTCAAAGAAAAGACAAAAACAAAAAAGCTGGCTGGGTGCAGTGGCTCACTCCTGTAATCCCAGCACTTTGGGAGGCCAAGATGGGTGGATCACTTGAGGTCAGGAGTTTAAGACCAGCCTGGCCAACATGGTGAAAACCTGTCTCTACTAAAAGTACAAAAAATAGCCAGGAGTGGTGGCATGCACCTGTAATCTCAGCTATAGGGAGGCTGAGGCAGGAGTATCACTTGAACTCAGTAGGTGGAGGTTGTAGTGAGGCAAGATTGCACAACTGCACTTTAGCCTGGGCGACAGAGCGAGACTCCATCTCAAAAACAAAAACAAAAACAAATTCTTGGCCCGGTGCAGTGGTTCACGCCTGGAGTCCTAGCACTTTGGGAGGCCTAGGCAGGCAGATTGCTTTGAGCCCAGGAGTTCAAGACCAGCCTGGGCAAAGTAGCAAAACCCTGTGTCTACAAAATACAAAAATTAGCTGGGAATTAGTGGCTCACACCTGTTAGTCCCAGCTATGCGAGAGGATGAGGCTAGAGAATCACTTGAGTCTGCGAAGCAGAGGTTGCAGTGAGACAAGATGGTGCTACTGCACTTCAGCTTAGGTGAAGAAGTAAGACCCTGTTTCAAACAAACAAAACAAAACAAAACAACAGCCGGGCGTGATGGCTCACGCCTGTAATCCCAACACTTTGGGAGGCCAAGGCAGGCGGATCACGAGGTCAGGAGCTCGAGACCAGCCTGACCAACATGGTGAAACCCCATCTCTACTAAAAATACAAAAATTAGCCAGGCGTGGTGGCGCACACCTATAATCCCAGCTACTTGGGAGGCTGAGGCAGGAGAATCACTTGAACCCAGAAGGTGGAGGTTGCAGTGAGCTGAGATCGTGCCATTGCACTCCAGCCTGGGCAACAAGAGCGAAACTCTGTCTCAAAAAAAAAAAAAAAAAAAACCCTAATTCTCAAAATTGTACATTGAAACTGTCACATAATTAACTTTACATTTGGTTTATGGTTAATGGTAGGTATTAGAAAGTACACTTAAAAGTACTGTGACTTGGCCAGGTGCAGTGGCTCACGCCTGTAATCCCAACACTTTGGGAGGCTGAGGCGGGTGGATCACAAGCTCAAGAGATCGAGACCATCCTGGCCAACATGGTGAAAACCCGTCTCTATTAAAAATACAAAAATTAGCTGGGCATGGTGGCGCACGCCTGTAGTCCCAGCTACTTGGGAGGCTGAGGCAGGAGAATCGCTTGAACCCAGGAGGCAGAGGCTGCAGTGAGCCAAGATTGCACCACTGCACTCCAGCCTGGTGACAGAGTGAGATTCCATCTCAAAAAAAAGTAGCATGGCTTAATTAATTTGGGTTGGTGGCAGTGATTTGTATAGAAGGCTCCTGGAGGAAGGGATGTTTGCAATGCGACTTTGTGATAGGCTAAATAATACCACTACACCCCCATCCTCAGTGATGTCCACATTCTTTTTTTTTTTTTTTTAACAGAGTCTTGCTCTGTCACCCAGGCTGGAGTGCAGTGGCACGATCTCAGCTCACTGCAAGCTCCGCCTCCTGGGTTCACACCATTCTCCTGCCTCAGCCTCCAGAGTAGCTGGGACTACATGCGTCCACCACCGTGCTTGGCTAATTTTTTGTATTTTTAGTAGAGACGGGGTTTCACCGTGTTAGCCAGGATGGTCTTGATCTCCTGACCTCGTGATCCACCCGCCTTGGCCTCCCAAAGTGCTGGGATTACAAGCGTGAGCCACCGTGCCCGGCCAGTGATGTCCACATTCTAATCCTCAGAACCTGTGAATGTGTTATGTTACATGGCAAGCAAAATTGAGAAATGGAGAACAGATTAGTGGTTGCCAGAGATTAAAGAGAGGGTGGGAGTGGGAGGGAAATGTGTGCAGCTATAAAAGGACTAAGGCATCCTTGTAGGTCCTGGTAATAGAAATGTACTGTATCTTGACTATATGGATGTCAATACTGTGATTATGATATTGTATAGTTTTGCAAGATGTTACCATTGGGGGAAAATTGGGTAAAGGGTACACCAGGATCTCTGTATTATTTCTTTTTGTTTTTGTTTTTTAGATGGAGTCTCACTTTGTTGCCCAGGCTGGAGTGTGATGGTGTGACCTCAGCTCACTGCAACCTCCACCTCTTAGGCTCAAGTGATTCTTGTGTCTCAGCCTCCTGAACTGCTGGGATTACAGGCACACGCCACCACACCTGGGTAATTTTTATATTTTTAGTAGAGACTGAGTCACCACGCCCGGCCTCAAGTTTTTCATTTTAAAGATAAGGAGAGGTCACGTGACTCTGTGAAGGTCACAGGGTCAGCAAGTGAAATGGCTGGACTGGATACTGCAATCTGACTTCCAGGCTGCTGCATTTCACCCAAGGTGTCCAAAGTTTTCCAGGCTGAATTTTCATGACTCCTGGGCCTTCCAAAAAATACTGGGATAATGTGAGTATTGAAGTGGAACAACGGAATTCTGTGGCTGGTATCTGAATACAGAGCTATGGAAGAGAGGTTGTGGAATGCTAAAGTCATATAACCCCATTCAGCTCACAAAAGTTTTGTAACAATATGTTGCAAGAAAGTGATCTTGGCAGGGCGGGTGCAGTGGCTCACGCCTGTAATCCCAGCACTTTGGGAGGCCGAGGTGGGTGGTTCACCTGAGGTCAGGAGTTTGAGACCAGCCTGGCCAACATGGCAAAACCCCATCCCTACTAAAAATACAAAAATTAGTCAGCTGTGGTGGCTCATGCCTGTAGTCCCAGCTACTCGGGAGGCTGAGGTGGGAGAGTCACTTGAACCAGGGAGGTAGAGGATGCAGTGAGCCAAGATGGCACCACTGCAATCTAGCCTGGCAACAGAGCAAGACTCCATCTCAAAAGAAAAAAAAAAAAAAAGAAAGTGACCTGGAACTTTAATCATCTGAATGATGTGCAGCATGAAGTCTCTGAAAGAAATTCCAAGAAATCCTGCCAGATTTTAATTTCTGTGTGTTTGACGCTGCCAGAGACAGATAACTTGTTTTCATTGCTGTTGTTGTTTTGAGACAGGGTCTTGCTCTGTCCCCAGGCTGGAGTGCAGCTGGCACACTCACAGCTCTTTGCAGCCTGGGCCTCCTGGGCTCCAGAAATCCTCCCGCCTCAGTCTCACAAGTAGCTGGGACTACAGGCATGGACCACCACACCTGGCTACTTCGTTTGTATTTTTTGTAGAGACAGGGTTTTGCCATGTTGCCCAGGTTGGTCTCCAACTCCTAGGCTCAAGTGATCTGCCTGTCTCAGCCTCTCGAAGTGCTGGGATTATAGGTGTGAGCCACCACACCCAGCCATGAAAATTGTTTTGCAAAGCAGATTTTGAAACAGATTTCTTAGGTCTCAAGCTGTTCATAAGATTACCTTTTAGGTAGATCCAATTTTTTGGCTACTTCTATCACTCTTACATTCTTCTTCTTTTTTTTTTTTTCTTGAGACAGACTCTCTCTCACTCTGTTGCCCAGGCTGAAATGCAGTGGTGCAATCTCTGCTCACTGCAATCTCCACCTCCCAGGTTCAAGCCATTCTCCTGCCTCAGCCTCCTGAGCAGCTGAGGACTACAGGCGTGCACCACCTTGCAGTGTGATTTGCAGCACGAAGTCTCTGAAAGAAATTCCAAGAAATCCTGCGCTAATTTTTGTATTTTTTGGTGGAGAGAGGGTTTCACAATGTTGCCCAGGCTAGTCTCAACTCCTGACCTCAAGTGATCTGCCCACCTGGGCCTCCCAGAGTGCTAGGATGACAGGCAGGAGCCACTGCACCCAGCCTCATTCTTAAATTATTTTTTGAGATGGAGTTTCGCTCTTGTTGCCCAGGCTGGAGTGCAATGGTGCGATCTCAGCTCACCGCAACCTCTGCCTCCCAGGTTCAAGCAATTCTCCTGCCTCAGCGTCCCAAGTAGCTGGGATTACAGGCATGTGCCACCATGCTTGGCTAATTTTGTATTTTTAGTATAGACGGGGTTTCTCCATTTTGGTCAGGCTGGTCTCGAACTCCCGACCTCAGGTGATCCGCTGCCTTGGCCTCCCAAAGTGCTGGGATTACAGGCATGAGCCACCGCGCCCAGCCTCTTATATTCTTATAGGAAGAATATTTCTTCTTATATTCTATTTTCTTTATACTTTATGGTAGATTGAATTATTGTTCATTTATCCCAATTATTCATGATCTTGCTGTATTTTGTTTGTTTGTTTTTGAGACGGAATCTCACTCTGTTGCCCAGGCTGGCGTGCAGTAGTGCAATCTCGGCTCATTGCAATGTCCGCCTCCTGGGTTCAAGCGATTCTCCTGCCTCAGCCTCCCAAGTAGGTGAGACTACAGGCACCCACCACTATGCCCGGCTAATTTTTGTAATTTTAGTAGAGACAGGTTTTCTCCGTGTTAGCCAGGATGGTTCTGATCTCCTGACCTCGTGATCTGCCTGCCTCTGCCTCCCAAAGTGCTACGATTACAGGTGTGAGCCACCGTGCCCGGCACATGCTCTTGCTGTGTTATATCCTTCTCATTTGACATGTAGGTCTACAATTCTTCCACTATGAGTAGAATATTTTCTCTGCCTTGTTCATGTGGAGCTTGGCCATGTGTCTTGCTTTGGTCAATGGATCATATAAGGATGTGAAGAGAGGAGTGGCCTTAAATGTGCTGTTTGACTTGGCTTGGATCTCCTGCTCTAGGGAGCAGTTGGTGCAAGGAGAATAAGAGACATTTTAAGCAGACCTGGACCTAAAGTACAGCCATGCCCGGTTGACCTGCAGCTGAAGCAGAGCCATTAGACTGAGCCAAGCCTAGATCAGCCCACCTCAGTCAACCTGCAGATCCATGAGCATGAGGATAAATGGTCACTATTGTTCTCTACTGAATTTGGGGTGATTTGTTATGCAGCAATATCACAACAATAGCTGACAAACACACATCAGGAATGTACTTCTCTTTTTTTTTTTTTTGACACAGAGTCTCACTCTGTCGCCCAGGCTGGAGTGCAGTGGCGCTATCTCGGCTCACTGCAAGCTCCGCCCCCCGGGTTCACACCATTCTCCTGCCTCAGCCTCCTGAGTAGCTGGGACTACAGGCGCCTGCCACTACGCCTGGCTAATTTTTTTGTATTTTTAGTAGAGACAGGGTTTCACCGTGTTAGCCAGGATGGTCTTGATCTCCTGACCTTGTGATCCGCCTGTCTCGGCCTCCCAAAGTGCTGGGATTACAGGTGTGAGCCACCGCACCTGGCCAGGAATGTACTTCTCATTCGGATTTTGCACATACAATGTAAGAATAAACAGCTTATATTATATTTGTATGGCTTTTCTTTCAAAATAAATTCTTTAAATATATAGGTTTTTATCTTGCTCTTTTTATTTCAGTGTTGATTTAATCTTGCCAAGAATCTTATTAACACTTTGAGATAGCCAGTTCTTTAAAAGAATGTTTCCTTTGAGTTTTGGAGTTGACAGATGTACCATCTATTTCATTACACTCACTCTCGTACCCACTGGAGCATCACGGGGAAATGAGGCAATTTTCTAAATGAGGATGTGTCCTCCTACTTCTTTACTTCTTCTTTTTTTTCCTTCTTTTTTTTTTTGAGATGGAGTCTCACTCTGTTGCCAAGGTTGGAGTGCAATGGTGCAATCTCGGCTCACTGCAACCTCCACCTCCTTGGTTCAAGCAATTCTCCTGCCTCAGCCTCCCTAGTAGCTGGGACTACAGGTGCGTGCCACCACGCCTGGCTAATTTTTCTATTTTTAGTAGAGACAGGGTTTCATCATGTTAGGCAGGATAGTCTGGATCTCCTGACCTCGTGATCCGCGTTCCTCGGCCTCCCAAAGTGCTGGGATTACAGGTGTGAGCCACCGTGCCCGGTTGTGTCCTCCTACTTCTAAAGTTCTTTTTCTTCCAAAGCCAAGAAAAGATAGCAAGACTTAGACATATTTGACCAAATGATGTGCTTATGTTCAAAATCTTTCACTGGAAATTCCTTTTCCAAAATAATACACTATGGCCTTTGCCTTCCTGAAACAGAGGTATCCAGACAACTCCAGGTCTCCTTTGTAGCTGGGATTACAGGCGTGCACCACCACGTCCAGCTAATTTTTGTATTTTTAGTAGAGATGAGGTTTCACCATGTTGGCCAGGCCAGTCTCGAACTCCTGGCCTCCCAAAGTGTTGGAATTATGGGCGTGAGCCACCGCACCTGGCCTATTTGTGTACTTTTAAATTATGTAAAAATAGCTGGGTGCGGTGGCTCATGCCTGAAATCCCAGCACTTCGGGAGGCTCAGGCAGGCGGATCATGAGGTCAGGAGTTCGAGACCAGACCGGGCAACACAGTGAAACCGTGTCTCTAATAAAGATACAAAAATTAGCCGGGTGTGGTGGCACGTGCCTGTAGTCCCAGCTACTGGGGAGGCTGAGGCGGGAGAATCACTTGAACCCGGGAGGCGGAGGTTGCAGTGAGCCAAGACCATGCCATTGCACTCCAACCTGGGTGACAGAGTGAGACTCCGCCTCAAAAAAAAAAAAAAGAAGTTCAAGACCACCCTGGCTAACAGAGCGAGACCCCATCTCTACTAAACACACAAAAATTAGGCAGGCATGTTTGCATGTGCCTGTAATCCCAGCTACTCAGGAGGCTGAAGGAGGAGAATCACTTGAACCGGAAAGGCGGAGGCTGCAGTGAGCCAAGATCACGCCACTGCACTTCAGACTGGGCGAGAAAGTGAGATTCCGTCTCAAAAAATAAATAAATAAAATAAAAATAAAGATGTAAAAATAGGCTGGGCACAGTAGCTGACACCTGTAATCCCAGCTACTTTGGAGGCTGAGGCAGGAGGATCATTTGAGCCCAAGAGTTCTAATCCAGCCTGGGCAACATAGCAAGACCTTGCCCCCCCCATATATAAAAAATATATATAATATATATTATATATTATGTATATTATATATATATACATATATATTTATTTATTTTGAAACGGAGTTTTGCTCTTGTCACCCAGGCTGGAGTGCAATGACACAATCTCTGGCCGCTGCAACCTCCGCCTCCTGGGTTCAAGTGATTCTCCAGCCTCAGCCTCCTACATAGCTGGGATTACGGGCTCCTGCCACCATGCCCGACTAATTTTTGTATTTTTAGTATTGTAGTAGAGACAGGGTTTCACCATGTTGGCCAGGCTGGTCTTGAACTCCTGACCTCAGGTGATCCACCCACCTTGGCCTCCCAAAGTGTTGGGATTACAGGCGTGAGTCACCGTGCCCGGCATATATATATATATATATATATATATATACACACACACACACACACAGACACACACACACAGACACACACACATTCGAACTCCTGGCTTCAAGTGAAACGTCCTCCGCCTTGGCCTCCCCAGGTGCTGCTGCTATTACAGGCGTGAGACACCGTGGCCAGCTCAGTGGTTAGTATCTTTATTTGGAGACGAGGGCAACCCATGAGAGATCTTAAGGAGTGGTTCTGACAAGTGCAAACTTGTGTTTTAGGAAGACCACTTAGGCAGCAGTAGGGGAAGGACAGGAGGGGCGCTGGGACTCATGAGTAGCTGCTATACTTTGGGATCTGTCCCCCATCCCTGTGTTTGCAGTGTTTCAGCGACCATTTCAACATCTCCAAAAGTCTAAGATTAAAAATGCAAAAGAAAAGAGAGAAACTGCTTAGGCGAGTCTTTCTCCCAGGCTGGAGTGCAGTGGCGCGACCTCGGCTCACGGCACCTACAGTCTCCCGAGTTCAAGCGATTCTTCTGCCTCAGCTTCCCGAGTAGCTGGGATTACAGGCGCGCGCCACCACTCCCGGCTAATTTTTTGTATTTTTAGTAGAGTCACCAGGTTGGCCAGGCCTGTCTCAAGTGATCCGCCCGCCTCTGCCTCCCAAAGTGCTGGGATTACAGGCTTGAGTCACCGCGCCCGGCCCACGTGGCGAGTCTTAACCACGTGACCCTCCCCGCTCTCCAGCCCGGCAGGTACCAGCAAAGGACTAGCAGCCTCCTCCAATATGGATAGCTTCTCGGATGGCCCCGCCCCTCCGGAGAGCTGCAGCCAATCAGACGGCGTGAGGCCAGCAGTGGGTGCGGCTGCGCTTGGCGCTGCGCATATCCGAATACCAGGAAGTGCCCGGTTTCGCTGTCAGTGCTCGGGCAGCTAGAATCCAGGTCCCTTGAGGAATAATTTAAGAAGGGGTGGAGAAAAATTAGGGGGCGTCTTCAAATATTCAGAGAGTCAGCGAGGTAAAGAGGACTTGGGCAGGTCTGTGTAGCAACGGGGGCGGGAATCATTCATTGACGCATGAAGTATTTCCTGAGCTCCCACCACGTAAGACCAAGTTTTGTTCTAGATGTCCGAGGGGCCAGAGTGAATATAGCAAAGTCTTTGACCTCAAGGAGCTTAACGTGAATAATATGGGGACGTGGTGGTGTTAAAAAATATATAAAACAGGCCGGGTGCCGTGGCTCACGCCTGTAATCCCAGCTCTTTGGGAGGCCAAGGCGGGTGGATCACGAGGTCAGGAGATCGAGACCATCTTGGCTAACGCGGTGAAACCCCATCTCTACTAAAAATACAAAAAATAAGCCGGGCGTGGTGGTGGGCGCCTGTAGTCCCAGCTACTCTGGAGGCTGAGGCAGTAGAATGGCGTGAACTCAGAAGGTGGAGCTTGCAGTGAGCCGAGATCGCGCCACTGCACTCCAGCCTGGGCGACAGAGCGAGAATCCGCCTCAAAAAAAAAAAAAAAAAAAAAAAAAAAATATATATATATATATATATATATATATATCACCGACCGGGCGCGGTGGCTGACGCCTGGAATCCCAGCACTTTGGGAGGCCGAGGCGGGTGGATCACTTGAGGTCAGGAGTTCGAGACCAGCCTAGCCAACATGGTGAAACCCCTTCTCTACTAAAAATACAAAAATTAGCCGGGCATCATGGCGGGCGCCTGTGATCTCAGCTACTTGAGAGGCTGAGGCAGGAGAATCGCTTGAACCCGGGGTGGAGGTTGCTGTGAGTCTTGATCACACCACTGCACTCCAGCCTGGGCGACAGAGTGAGACTCTGTCTCAAAAAAAGAAAAAAAAATCTTTCTCTTATCTCGCACACCATAAGGAGGACATATAATGGGAGGCAGTACACTTCCCAGTAGAGGGATCTGGAAAGGCACATATCTGAATACAGTAACTGAAGGAACCATGTAGAAATGTGAGAGAAGGGCATCACTGTCGGCACAGGCAGCAAGTGCACACGTATCATGAGATCCGAGCAAGGAAAAGCCAAGTGTCGGTGTGGAAGTTGTATTCAGATTGCTTCTACCTCCTCAGTGAAATGCGAAGGAAAACTATCAGCTGTGGATAAGGAAGGAGGAGGGACTGGTGGTTTGAGAAAGATGTCATGAAGGACTCACTTATGACCCTGTAAGTTGAAGAATTATGAATTTTCTAGAACACTTTTTAAAAAAGAGAAATCTGGCCGAGTGCTGTGGCTCATGCTCGTAATCCCAGCACTTTGGGAGGCCGAGGCGGGTGGGTCATCTGAGGTCAGGAGTTCGAGATTAGCCTGGCCAACATGGTGAAATCCCGTCTCTAGTAAAAATACAAAAATTATCCGGACGTGGTGATGCACACCTGTAGTCCCAGCTACTTGGGAGGCTAAGGGAGGAGAATCACTTGAACCTGGGAGGCAGAGGTTGCAGTGAGCCGAGATCGCACCACTGCACTTCAGCCAGAGGGACAGAGTGAGACTCTGTCTCAAAAAAATAATAAGATAAAAAGGAGAAATCCCAGAATGAACCGCAGAATTGTGATATTGGCCAGGTGCAGTGGCTCACACCTGTAATCCCAGCACTTTGGGAGGCCAAAGTGAAAGAACTGCTTGAAGGTCGGAGTTAGAAACCAGCCTGGGCAATGTAACAAGACCTTGCTTCTATAGAAAATAAAAAGTTAGCCTGGTGTCATGGCACTGTGGTCTCAGCTACTCAGGAGGCTGAGGCAGGAGGATGGCTTGAGCCCAGGAGTTCCAAGGTTGCAATGAGCCGTGATCATGCCACTGCTCTCCAGCGTGGGTGATAGAGCGTGACGGTCTCAAAGGTGGAGTGGTGGCGGGGGAGGTCAAGCGCGGTGGCTCATGCCTGTAATCCCAGTACTTTGGAAGGCCAAGGCAGGAGATCACTTGAGACCAGCCTGGGCAACATAGTGAGACCCTGTCTCTTCCAAAAAATAATTAGTTGGGCTTGGTGGCATATGACTGTAGTCCCAGCTACTTGGGAAGCTGAGGTAGGAGGATCTCTTGAGCCAGGAAGTTCGAGGCTACAGTGAGCTAAGTTGTGATTGTGCTACTGCACTCAGGCTAGGCGAAAGTGAGACTGTTTCAAAAAAAAAAAAGGGAAAGTAAATAGAAATGTGTTTTCCATTGCTGGAAGAGGACAGGACACCACAGAGAGGATTCTTTTTTTTTTTTTTTTTTTTTTGAGACAGGGTCTCGCTCTTTCGCCCAGGCTGGAGTGCGGTGGTGCGATCTCAGCTTACTGCAAGCTCCGCCTCCCGGGTTCACACCATTCTCCTGCCTCAGCCTCCTGAGTAGTTGGGACTACAGGCACCCGCCACCCCGCCCGGCTAATTTTTTTGTATTTTTAGTAGAGACGGGGTTTCACCATGTTAGCCAGGATGGTCTCGATCTCCTGACCTCATGATCTGCCTGCCTCGGCCTCCCAAAGTGCTGGGATTACAGGCGTGAGCCACTGCGCCTGGCCAGGATTCTTAAATCAGTGGTTTGTTTTTTTTGAGACAGGGTCTCGCTCTATCACCCAGGCTGGAGTGCAGTGGCGTGATCTTGGCTCACTGCAACCTCTGCCTGCCAGGTTCATGTGATTCTCCAGCCTTAGCTTCCCGAGTAGCTGGGATCATAAGCGTGCACCACCATGCCTGGCTAATTTTTGTATTTTTAGTAGAGATGGGGTTTCACCATGTTGGCTAAGTTGGTCTTCAACTTCTGACCTCAAGTGATCCACCTGCCTCGGCCTCCCAAAGTGTTGGGATTACAGGCATGAGTTACAGCGCTCAGCCTTAAATTAGTTTTGATCAGTCTTCACCAGGCTCTACCAACACAAGATTCTGTAATGAGAGGTTAAAGAGATTATACTGCCTTAACTGTTAATTAGCAACTCTTTTCTCAAGAAATGGTGTAGGAGAGTACATTTCTCCAAATAACCATGAAACCTAACAAGAAGCACAGCTGTCACGCAGTTAAGTTCTGTAAATAGAAGACTACATGGATAGAATTCCTTGTTGCAGTTCTGAGGCCAAGAAGGGAAACTGGGCACTCACTGCTTTTGCTCTGGGCAGAGGAAGAATGTCACCAGGAATCATGCTTCTTTCTGGAATATATCAGTGTGGTGTTACAGAGGTGTTTTCAGTCATTCTTTTACCAGTTTCCATTGGCTAAATGAGAAGCAGAAGATTCATAGCGTAACCTCATAAACAGCTGGGAAGGACAAGTATTAAGTGGTGAGATCTTTTAAAAAGTAAACGAGGGACTGGGCACGGGGGCTCACACCTGCTATCCTGGCACTTTGGGAGGTCGAGGCGGGCAGATCAGCTGAGGTTGGGAGTTCAAGAGCAGCCTGACCAACATGGAGAAACCTCGTCTCTACTAAAAGTATAAAATTAGCCAGGCGTGGTGGCCCATGCCTATAATCCCAGCTACTCGGGAGGCTGAGGCAGGAGAATCGCTTGAACCTGGGAGGCGGAGGTTGCGGTGAGCTGAGATCGTGCCATTGCACTCCATCCTGGGCAACAAGAGTGAAACTCTGTCTCAAAAAAAGTAAATGAGGCTGGGCTCAGTGGCTCACGCCTGCAATCCGGGCACTTCGGGAGGTCGAGGTGGGGGGATCACCTGAGGTCAGGAGTTCAAGACCAGCCCAACCAACATAGTGAAACCCTCTTCTAAAAAAAATACAAAAATTAGCTGGACTTGTTGGTGGGTGCCTGTAATCCCAGTACTTGGGAGGCTGAAGCATGAGAATCCCTTGAAACCAGGAAGTGGAGGTTGCAATAAGCTGAGATTGCATGCCACTGCACTCCAGCCTGGCGACAGAGTGAAACTCCACCCCCCGCCCCCAAAAAAAGTCAATTGGCACAGAGACAGGAAGCAATGCTCAAATGTCTCCCTGATCTGGAAGTGGGTCAAGCTTTTATGGCATTCCTATCTAGTCCTAGGTGATGCCAATGCAGTCGGCCTGCCAGGCTCGTGGTGGTAACAATTAAAACGTTAAAGCTTTTTTCCACTGTGCACGCTCAGGCAATTTTGGCTGTCTCACCTGTAACAACTTAAGCAATGGTTAATCAGTTTGAGCTGGTCCCACAGTTACAACAGGATACTCCTCAGAAAATGGTGACCACTTTGGAAGGAACGATGCTTACTGTGACATATAACTTTGGAATGTCTATTTTAACTTATTGCCAAGCCACGAGAACAAAGTAACGGCCTTGAGAGTTATTTGAAAGGTTTTCAAAAAAATTTATTTTCATAAATTAACACACATAACAGTGGAAATCTTAGAGTCACAAACTACCAAACAGAAAAGGAACTGCAGGGGCATCATGTATACCAATGTTACCAAAAATGTACAAATTTCATTGAACTACTGACCATGATAATATATAAACATGTCAGGCAGCTATTTTTACTGGCCCAGACCAGCCCAAGGAGATGCTGAGGCCTCTCACCAAGAATTCAAATCCAATTCAGCACCAGAGAGGGGCTTGTGAAGACACACAATCAACAAACATGGAATCTGAGAGCACACTGCACTAGATGGCCAGCTCAACGGGGACCCCCTTTCATCATCAAAATAGCTTTTGCTGCTTGATTTGTGGCTAGACGGTAACATTAAACTGTAATTTTAGTAAAATTAAATCTCCCTAGCCAGGTTTTTATACAGTAAGTTCAGTTGTGGCAAGGAGCCCTTTTCTGACACGAATCCAGGAAAGGATACTCTGCACTTCTGGCCAATTATTTAAACTTTGGATACAGCCACCCACAATGTGGTTATTTAAGAAGTCCTTTCCATGACACCAGGGGAAAAGCTTACAGAAACAAAACAGAACAAGGGAATTACAGAAAGCACCAACTGCATACTCCCCCCACCCCAGGGAATGGGAGAAAAGTATCACTGCCTAAAAGTTGGTCTTTCGCAGATCTTAATGTACATGGCATTGATTATGAGACGGAATTCCAGCCTGGAGACGGAGCGACGGCCGTGCATTCATTGGCTGCACCGCGGCCTTGGATCTGCTGCTCCCGTCCTGTACGCTCCCTGCTGCTCTTGGCTCAGTGGGCAAGGAAGGAGCCACGGGGGAGGTCTCACGCCCAGATAGTGGGATCTGGAATGGACCTCAGGTTGGCTCTGGAGCCCGTGCCAAAGACCCTTTCAGGCAAAATTGTGACAAAGTATCATGATTTTCACAGCTCTTGAGGAGCGCTGAGTTTTGGGATTCACAGCATGGGTTTCTGGGCTCCTCAGGCTCCGAATAAGGCAAACGCTACATGTCTTCACCGTACCTCCCTCAGCTACTGTAGCTTAGAGTAAGGTCAGTAAGAAAAAGTGGACATGATCTGCTTTAACAGGAGATGAGGTACAGCTGAACTCATGGAGACATGAAGCTGGAAAGGAGACCAAAAGCAAAAAAAGAGGAGGGAACGCGGAGGGAGAAGGCAAACACAGCTAGAAACTGAAAGATGGAAAAAAAAACAAAAAACAAAACACAGTTGAAAGTTTCAGTGAAAAGCTGATGGGCAGAACCCTGATTAGACCTGAGATTTCTCCTCTTTCCCATATTAAAAACACTAAACCTCTGGAAGTGATAGTTGAGTAAGCTGTAGTTAACTGTAACTTCCCACCACTTGGGGAGGGAAGTTCCCATACTCAGAAACTGTACCAACTCCACCCCAGAACCAGACCTCCTGTAGCTCTGGGCAGGTGGTGTGCCAGCAGCCGATTACCATGTCCCATCGTGGTTAGGGACCACGGGCCTGGGGACCCCTGACAACACTGCAGCTGGCTCAGTGCCGAAACTGAATGTTAAGACAGGTGTGGCTGAGCGCAGCTGGAGCCTAGGTATATACATCACCTTCAGGTAAGTAATTTCAAGTTTGCAGTGGGGCCCCCTTCTCAACTTTGGAGCAGGGGAAGGGACCTAGCTAGAGGGTAGGTCCAGAATTTCAACGACGGGCAGGGCTGGCCTCACAACAACTCCTCTCCTACATTGTCAGGACAGGGAAGGAGCCCAGCTCTGTTTCTTCCAGTCCTCTGCTCCCAGTTACCCATGTTCCAAACCGCTGCTTCTGGTCCTTCGAGTGCCACACCTGTAACAGGCACAGTTGAAACTATCTCTGCCATGTTGGTGACACTATAGCTGTGCCCACTGTTGTCTCTGGGAAACATAGCCGCCACATCACTGCATCTATACTGGCAACAGAGCTGGCAAACAGGGCTCTGTTGACTCACTGCTAGTCTGCAACCTGTCCAGTAGGAGCTCCTTAAACATGCCTGGACAAGGGCAAAATGTACTACTCATCCCACTCCCTTAAGCAAAAAAGTCAGAGAGAAGCATTTAGTGTCTAAGAACCCTGTCCCAGGAAGGGAGAGGTATTGAGGTGAAACATAGGTCGTGTCTATACAGTCTGGGCAAAGTGGATGTAGAATGACAGAATCTGGTTAGCATCATTCAGAGCTGGTACGGAAGCCTGGCTCTCTTCTAACTGTATTTGGCCATGGCCTTGGAAGCCTCCGTGGATGACCAAGTGTGTATTTCACTCGTCTCAATGCTATGTCTGAGGCAGTGGGCCTAGAACATAGCCGTGGCACACTTTTCCCTCTGGCTCATGTCAGTTTTTCTGCTCCAGTGTGGCATAGACTGTCAACCTGCAAAAGCAAGGCACATAGAGACCCCCCACCCCCAACCCATCTCCCCATCCACTAGCAAATGGGGAAGCAAAAGAAACCTAGGAGAGTTGGCCAACATTCCAGGACGTGCCACTCACTCTTCTCTAATAGACTGACTTGGAAATGTCCCTAGAACTCTGACGGTTCCCATCGGCGGCTGCTCCATGCCAGTGGCTCCCAGGAGGATATGAAGAGGTGATGCTGGTGTCCTGACGATGACTTTTGCATCCCACTCACTAGCCATGGAATGTTAATTCTCTAAACTCTTGTTTTGAGAGAGAAAGAGAAACCCCTAGAGAAGGAGGGGAAGGGGAGCAGGATATGGACACACAGGACTTCAGTGGAAAAGGAACAAGACCTCGAGGCTGCTGACCCACAGCATCCCTCTGCCCACAGACTCCTGCAGGCACAAACCCAGAAACTCGGCTAACTCCAGCATTTGACAGTTCCGGTAGATGTGACGTAGGAGCCCAGAGTACAATGAGGTGGCCCTCAAAGAAGGCTGGCTGGGGATTTTTGAGATCCCACTGCAGGAACACATCTCTGGGTCTGAAACATGACCCCGACTCTCTCCCCACACTTGAAGCGGGCTGCCTGGAAAGCCACAAATACTGTGGGTCAGCCTGTATCACTGCCCAAGCCGTTGTACTCAATTTTGTTACCTAACACCATTTCAGATAAAAACCATTAAGACCACACCCAACCATAGTAGTTTTTCAATGATCGGGAGAGAAACCTGCTCTTACTTAAATCACTAAAATAAATACATGTATTTGGTGGGCAAGAATGAGAACCCAGATGAAAAAAAGTGCTCCCTCTAATGAGTTACACTAGAAGCTGGAGATGGGGAAGGGATTGCCTGAAACACATGAATAGGAAAAATGTCTCTTCCATGCAGCGATCAACTGGGTCAAATGCCTATCATGTATTCTTAAGACATGTATTGTTTTTCTCCTTAAAAAAATGTTTTAAAATCACATTTAAAGGCTCCACACATGCAGCAATAATAGTACAAAAACAACAACAAAAAAGAAAATAAAACAAATGAAAATAATCCACACCACAACATTAAAAAGTGCAACTTACTTCGAATGGGGCCTGGACGGGCTCCTCTGGCACTAGTGACCCAGTCACAGAGGGGAGAAAACGATGGGAAAAAGCCACACACACACAAACACTCTCACATACACTCACATCAATAGGTCCTGGGCAGACAAAAGATAAGAAAACACAACAGCTCATCTTTCCTCAACTACTGAAATGAGCCAGTGAGACCACACAGGACAGGACGCCAGGTCCCCCTCCCTAGGCCACGTTTCTAATAATCTTGGTCTAGCACCACCGTAAACAAAGCGGAACTTTCATATGGACGTGCAAATCCTGTGTGTCCTTGGAATCCTAGTGTTACTGAAGATAGGCTGCTGCTTCCTCCTGTGGATGGCAGAGACTGAGGAGGTGGCTGGATGTCGTTCAGGTCCATTTCCAGGAGAAAGGGAGCATTCCTGAGGTTCTATACTCAGCAGTAAAAGTAGAGGACCCTCCTTCACCAGTTTCTAAAAAGGTTGCACCTTGAAATAGGTAAAAATTCATGGACTGTGCATTTTTGAGTGGTTTGGCGGTAGGGCAAAATTAGGCAACCTTTTCCAAGGAGGTCCAAAAAAAAAAAAAAAACCCAAAAACAAAACAAAACAAAAAAACCCTAAAATTGAGACCCTCAAACTGAATCGCTTCTCAACAGCCTGATGATTGTTCCTGCTCCTCTTCCTTGGCAAAGAAGGTCTCCAGTTCCATTAGTTTCTGTATCAAAAGAGCATCCAGCTCTCGACTCTGCACAGCTGCCTTCTGGGCCCTGGTAAAGCTGCCTGCCACCTTGACTTTGCCTCGAGCTCTCCTCTTTCGCGGGACTGTAAAATCCTGAAATTCTAGAACTCGCTTCCTCTTCTGTTGGCTGATTGAGATTAGTGTACCATTTCGTTCCTTGGGTTCCTCAAAGATGGTCTCTAAACACCTAAGGATGAAGCACGAAACAATCACCAACAGACTGACTCACATGGCCCATCCTGTCAACAGGGTCAGGATGTTGACGCTGGGTCAACAACCCTTCTAGTCAACAGGGACTGAAAGCTACTTGCGCCAACTCTTTTTCTTTTTTTTGTGAGACAGAATTTCACTCTTGTTGCCCAGGCTGGAGCGCAATGGCATGATCTTGGCTCACTGCAACCTCTGTCTCCTGGGTTCAAGCGATTCTCCTGCCTCAGCCTCCCAAGTAGTGGGGACTACAGGTATGTGTCACTATGCCAGGTTAATTTTTTTTTTTTTTTAAGATGGAGTCTTACTCTGTCACCCAGGCTGGAGTGCAGTGGTGTGATCTCCGCTCACTGCAAGCTCCGCCTCCCAGGTTGACGCCATTCTCCTGCCTCAGCCTCCCAAGTAGCTGGGACTACAGGTGCCCACCACCACGCCCGGCTAATTTTTTTTTTTTTTTTGTATTTTTAGTAGAGACAGGGTTTCACTCTGTTAGCCAGGATGGTCTTGATCTCCTAACCTCATGATTCGCCCGCCTCGGCTTCCCAGTGCTGGGATTACAGGTGTGAGCCACTGCACCCAGCCCTGACTCATCTTTAAAAAAAAAACTTTTTTTTTGAGACAGGGTCTCACTCTGTTACTCAGGCTGGAGTGCAGTGGCACAATCACAATCACAGCTCACTACAGCCTCGACATCCTGGGCTCAAGCTATCCTCCTACCTGAGCCTCCCACGTAGCTGGGACTACAAGCATGTACCACCATGTCTGGCTAATTTAAAAAGAATTTTTTTTTTGTAGAGATGGAGTCTTGGTATATTGCTCAGGCTGGTCTCCAACTCAAGGGCTCCAGTGATCCTCCCTCCTTGGCCTCCCAAAGTGGTGCGATTACAGGCATGTGCCACTGTGCCTGGCTCTGATTCGTTTTTTTTAAATGGTTACACAGTATATTCCATTATAAGGAATTAATTATAAGTAATTGTACAAATGTGTTAGAGCAGACATACAAAATCTTAGGATAAAATCCTACAATTCTCCTTCTATATTCTAGAAACAGTGGGCATTTAATAAATGTTCACTGACTTGAATTGAATTCAGACCTAAGTGAAACTCTTCCTGTATTTCGGTTTACAATCATATCTGAAAAATCAATGATTATCAGTCCTGAAGTCAGCATATTTGGTAAAAATACAAACACAAACTACTTGTTTATACTTCTTTTTTCTTTTTCATTTTTGAGATGGAGTTTCGCTCTTGTTGCCCAGGCTGGAGTGCAATGGCGCGATCTCGGCTCACTGCAACCTCCACCCCCCGGGTTCAAGCGGTTCTCCTGCCTCAGCCTCCCGAGTAGCTGGGATTACTGGTGTGTGCCACCACGCCTGGGTAATTTTGTATTTTAGTAGAGACAGGGTTTCACTGTGTTTGCCAGGCTGGTCTTGAACTCCTGACCTCAGGTGATTTGCCCGCCTTGGCCTCCCAAAGTGCTTGAATTACAGGTGTCAGCCACTGCACCTGGCTGAGACTACATTTTCTTTCTTCTTTTTTTTTTTTTCTGAGACAGAGTCTAGCTCTGTTGCCCAGGCTGGAGTGCAGTGGTGTGATCTTAGCTCACTGCCATCTCCTCCTCCCGGGTTCAAGCAATTCTCCTGCCTCAGCCTCCCAAATAGCTGGGATTACAGGTGTGAGCCACCATGCCCGGCTAATTTTTTGTATTTTTAGTAGAGACAGGGTTCACCATGTTGGTCAGGCTGGTCTCGAACTCCTGACCTCGTGATCCACCCGCCTTGGCCCCCCAAAGTGCTGGGATTACAGGCGTGAGCCACCGTGCCTGGCTACATTTTCTTTACGTAACCCAATACACTTTATTTCCTATCCTATTACTGACCCTAATTCAAGTGCTGCAATTGAAAATACCAATTCTAGCTATTTATAAAACCCAATATTGGCCGGGCGCGGTGGCTCACACTTGTAATCCCAGCACTTTGGGAGGCCAAGGCAGGCGGATCACGAGGTCAGGAGATCGAGACCACGGTGAAACCCTGTCTCTACTAAAAATACAAAAAATTAGCCGGGTGTGGTGGCGGGCGCCTGTAGTCCCAGCTACTCGGAGAGGCTGAGGCAGGAGAATGGCGTGAACCCAGGAGGCGGAGCTTGCAGTGAGCCGAGATTGCGCCATTGCACTCCAGCCTGGGCGACAGAGACTCTGTCTCAAAAAAAAAAAAAAAAAGACCCAATATTGGTACAACTGAACATAAACTCTTTCTAAAGTGAAAGGGCTGGAGATTCACATCAATCATTTCAAATTCTTCCCTTTTATTTCCCAGCTATAAGTACCTACCTGTTTGCAGGAGGAGATTTATAATTCTTGTTGGTATATATCTCTTCTAAACTAAACTCCTTCTTCTTTAACCTGAAAAGAAATAAGGAAAAAAATTCTTCAGGTTCTCTCTCTCTTTTTTTTTTCAGAGAAGGTCTTGCTCTGTTGCCCAGGCTGAAGGGCAGTGACATGATCATAGCTCACTGCAGCCTTAAACTCTAGCCATCCTCCAGCCTCAGCCTCCTGAGTAGCTGGGATTACAGGTGTGTGCCACCATGCCAGGCTAGATTAAAAAAAAAAAAATTAGGCATGAGCTACTGTGCACAGCCTCATGTTCTCCTAAGATGGAAGAGACTTATTTCCCAATGCTATCCTTTTCGTTTGCTCCAACCTGTCTGTAATATGTTTTAGATGTGTCTCATGCAAACAATATGTACTGGATTTTCTTTTCCAGGGTACCAACCTTCAACTTTATGTAACTGAGCCCATTCATACTTACTGGGAATGATATATTTAGATTTATATATATTATTTTTCATAGATTTATATCTACTTTACAGCTGTTGTTTGTGCTGCTTTGCAATGTTTCTTTTTGTGAACTGACTGTTCTTTTTTTTCTATCTCCCTCCACTGACTAGAAAACTATATATTCTGTTCTTTTTTGTTTTTTTCTTTTTTAGAGATGGGGTCTTGCTCTGTTGCCTAGGAGTCTGACACTGGGTACAGCCTGGGTGACAAAGACCCTGTCTCTTAAAAAATATATACATACACACACACACACACACACACACAAAAACCCTTCACACCTATCAATTATACAGTAACCCTGAGGTACAGCTTGAATAGTAAAAGCAGGCCATATGCTTGCTTT
Organism: Homo sapiens; assembly: GCF_000001405.40. Taxonomy (NCBI): domain Eukaryota; kingdom Metazoa; phylum Chordata; class Mammalia; order Primates; family Hominidae; genus Homo; species Homo sapiens. The sequence continues at coordinate 31,689,006 of NC_000022.11, forward strand.
TTTCCTTTTATTACCAATTTCCAAAACAATGAATTGGTTCCCCAGTATCTTCCAAAGATGGCCAATGGTTTTAAATTTTTTAAAGTATCATTATTAACTATTGGGTTTATATTTGATATGTTTTAATCTATTGAACTTATTATTCTTTTGAGTCTCATCTGTGGCCAGAGGTAATCTCTTCAAACTGGTTCTTGAGAGCCAGGCATGGGGGCTCCCAACAGTAGTCCCAGTTACTTGGGAGACTGAGGCAAGAGAATTGTTGAGCCCAAGAGTTCGAGACCAGCCTGGGCAACAAAGCAAGACGCTGTCTCTATACAAAATTAAAAAATAAAGAAAAAACTGGCCCTGAATCCCTTTGACATGACCCTAGGAGTCTCTGAGAGCTTTGCTACCTTCTGGTATGACAAGATACATTCATCTTATTCATTTCCTGCCCTAGACCTGTAATCACTCTCCAAGGAGCCCAGGTTCACCTATCATAAAATTCATCCATTTAAAATGTACAATTCAGTGATTTTTAAAACATTCGCAAGGTTATTCCTGATCACCACTATCTAATCAAGACCAGTTTTTTTTTGAGACAGGGTCTTGTGCTGTCACCCAGGCTGGACTGCAGTGGCTCAAACATGGCTCACTGCAGCCTCAACTTCCTGGGCTGGGCTCAAGAGATCCTCCTGTCTCTGCCTCCCGTGTAGCTGGGACCACAGGTGTGTGCCACCACAGCCGGCTTATTTTTTTATTTTATTTATTTATTTTTTGAGACAGAGTTTCGCTCTTTTTGCCCAGACTGGAGTGCAATGGCGCGATCTCAGCTCACTGCAATCTCCACCACCCGGGTTCAAGCGATTCTCCTGCCCAGCCTCCTCAGTAGCTGGAATTACAGGCATCCGCCACCACACCTGGCTAATTTTTGATTTTTTTTTTTCTTTTGAGATGGAGTCTTGCTCTGTTGCCAGGCTGGAGTGCAGTTGTGCAATCTCGGCTCACTGCAACCTCTACCTCCCGGGTTCAAGCGATTCTCCTGCCTCAGCCTCCCGAGTAGCTGGGACTACGGGTGCGTGTCACCACACCCAGCTAATTTTTGTATTTTTAGTAGAGATAGGGTATCACCACATTGGCCAGACTGGTCTCGAACTCCTGACCTCAGGTGATTCACCCACCTCGGCCTCCCAAAGTTCTGAGATTACAGGCATGAGCCACCATGCCCAGCTGTAACTTTCTGTAGTAGAGATGGGGTTTTATCACGTTGGCCAAGATGGTCTCGAACTCCTGACCTCAGGTGATCCACCCACCTCGGCCTCTGAAAGTGCTGGGATTACAGGCGTGAGCCACCATGCCCAGCTGTAACTTTGATTTTTTCGTACAGGTGGGGTTTCACCATGTTGGCCAGGCTGGTCTTGAACTCCTGATCTCAGGTGATCCACCCATCTCGGCCTCCCAAAGTGCTGGAATTACAAGCGTGAGCCACTGTGACTGGCCTATTTTTTCATTTTTTTAAAGACAGCATCTCGCTCTCTTGCCCAGGTTAAAGTGCAGTGGTACAATGATAGCTGACTGCAGCCTCGACCTTCCTGGCTGAAGCAATCCTCCTCTCTCAGCTTCCCAAGTAGCTGGGACCTATAGTCCCTGGCTAATTTTTTTTTTTTTTTTCTTTGAGACGGAGTCTTGCTCTGTCGCCCAGGCTGGAGTGCAGTGGCGTGATCTTGGCTCACTACAACATCTGCCTTCTGGGTTCAAGTGATTCTTCTGCCTCAGCCTCCTGAGTAGCTGGGACTACAGGCATGCACCACCATGCCCAGATAATTTTTGTATTTTTAGTAGAGACAGGGTTTCATTATATTGGTCAGGCTGGTCTCAAACTCCTGATCTTGTGATCTGCCCACCTTGGCCTCCCAAAGTGCTGGGATTACAGCTGTGAGCCACCATGCCCGGCCTCCAGCTAATTTTTTTTTCTTTTCTATTTCTTTTTTTTTTTTGAGACCAAGTCTCACTCTGTCACCCAGGCTGGAGTGCAGTGGTGTGATCTAGGCTCACTGCAACATCCGCATTCCGGGTTCAAGCGATTCTCCTCCCTCAGCCTCCCGAGTAGCTGGGATTACAGGCGCCTACCACCACGCGCGGCTAATTTTTAAAATATTTTTAGTAGAGACAGGGTTTCACCATGTTGGCCAGACTGGTCTTGAACTCCTGACCTCAGGTAATCTGCCCACCTCGGCCTCCCATAGTGCTGGGATCACAGGCATGTCGGGCTAATTTTTAAAAACTATTTTTGGTAGAGATAGGGTCTATGTTGTACAGGCTAGCTTTGAACTCCTCAGCTCAAGCGATCCTCCAGTCTCAGCCTCCCAAAGTGCTGGGATTACAGGGTTGAGCCACGATGCCTGACCTGATCTTTTGTAGAGATGTGGTCTCACTATGTTGCCCAGGCTGGTATCAGACTCCTGGGCTCAAGTGATCCTCCTGCCTCTACCTGCCAACGAGCTGGGATTATAGGAATGAACCACCACAACCAGCCTTAAAACACTTTCATAACTCCAAACAGAAACCTACTTTTAGCAGTCACCTGGACTCTCCCCTGCCACCCAGCACTGGTAACCACTAAACTACTTTCTGTCTCTAAGGATTCTAGACTTTTCATATAAAATGAATCATATAGAATGTGCTGTTTTCATAGTTAACTCCTGTTGTAGCATGTATCAGTACTTCGTTCCTTTTCCTGGCTGAATAATACGCCATCTATGGATATACCATCTTTTCTTTATCCATTTATCAACTGAGGAACATTTGGTTTCCACTTTTTAGCTATGAATAATGCTGCTGTGAATATTCATGCACAGGTTTTTTGGTGAATGTATGTTTTCAATTCCTTTTTTTTTTTTTGAGACAGAGTCTTGCTCTATCACCCAGGCTGGAGTGCAGTGGCATGATCTTAGCTCACTGCAACCTCCACCTCCTGCGTTAAGGCAATTCTCCTGCCTCAGCCTCCCGATTAGTTGGGATTACAGGCACGCACCACCACTCCTGGCTAATTTTTGTATTTTTAGTGGAGATGGGGTTTCACCATATTGGCCAGGCTGGTCTCGAACTCCTGACCTCAGATGGTCTGCCCACCTCGGCCTCCCAAAGTGCTGGGATTACAGGCGTGAGCCACCGTGCCTGGCATGTTTTCAATTCTTTTGGGTATATACCTAGAAGAATTGTTGGGTCATATGGTAACTAATTTTTTCAGGAACTGCCAATTTTTTTTTTTACAGTGGCTATACCATTTTACATTCCCAAGAGATGTGTATAAGGGTTTGAGTTTCTCCACACCCTTACTACACTTATTTTCTGTTTTATTGTTTCTTTACATCCTAGTGGGTGGGAAGTGGTATTTCACTGTGGTTTTGATTTGCAGTTCCCTGATGACTCATGATGTCAACAGCATCTCTTCAAATGCTTGTGGGCCATTTGTCTATCTTCTTTGGAGAAATGTCTATTGAAACACTTTGTCCATTTAAAAAATATGGGTTATTGTCTTTTGGTTGTTGAACTATAAGAGTTCTTTATAGCTTGTGGATACCAGACCCTTATTAGATGTGTGATTTGCAAATATTTTCTCCAATTCTGTGGGTTATACATTATCTTGTTTTTTGTGGGAGAGAGTTGGGCAGGGGGAGACAGTCTCACTCTCTTGCCCAAACTGGAGATCAGTGGTTTGATGACAGTTCACTGCAGCCTTGAAATCCTAGACTCAGTGATCCTTCCACCTCAGTGTCCTAAATAGTTGAGACTACAGGAGTGTGCCACCATGCCTGGTTCATTTTATTTTTATTTTTGTAGAGACAGGGTCTCATGCTGCCCGGGCTGGCCTTGAACTCCTGGGCTCAAGCATTCCTCCCACCTTGGCCTCCCAAAGTGCTTGGATTACAGGCGTGAGCCACCATGCCTGGTCATCTTTTCTTTTTTTTATACTTTATTTTTTATAGTAGTTTTATGTTCACAGAAAGACTGAGCAGAAAGTAGAGAGTTCCCATATAGCCCCTACCCTCACACATGGACAGCCTTCCAGAGTGTACAACTGTTGTACAATGAACCTATATTGATACATTATTATCACCCAAAAGTCCAGTTTATGTCAGAGCTCACCCTTGTTGTTGTCTTCTATGAGTTTTGACAAACACATAATGCCATGTATCCCTCATTACAGTAACACACATAACAGTTTTCACTGCCCTACATACCCTCTGTGCTCCACCTAGTCATCCCTTCCTTCCCCTCAACACTTGGTGACTTCTGTCTCCATGGTTTTGCCTTTTCCAGAATGTCATAGAGCTGAACTCATACAGTACGTAGTTTATTCAGATTGGCTTCCTTTACTCAGTAGTAAGCATTTAAGATTCCTCCATATCATTTATATCATTGATAGCTAATTCCTTTTTAGTACTGAGTAATATTCCATTGTCCAGACAGTTTATTCATTCAGCTACTGACGGACATCTTGGTTGCTTCCAAGTTTTAGAAATTCTGAATAAAGCTGCTATGAACATTTATGTACAGATTTTGTGTGAAATGTTTTCAACTCATTTGGGTAAATACCAAGGAGTGCAGCTGCTGTATGGTATGGTATGTAGGTTTAGTTTTGTACGGGACTTGCCAAACTGTCTTCCAAAGAGGCTATATACCATTTTGCATTCCCACCAGCAGTGAATGAGAGTGCCTGTTGCTCCACATCCTCATTCAATTCTCTCCCTTGATCATATTTTTTGTTTCTGTACTTCACTGTGAAAATTTTGTTCTGGTGTGCTCCTGTTCATTAACACTATTTCGCTCTATTTAACCTGCTGTTAACCCATTTATTAAAGTTTTATTTTGATTATTCAATTTTACATTTTTAGAAATTCTGTACAGTTCTACTTTAAATGTAGTTGGTTATTTTTAAGTATATCTTGCTTCATTATTCATATTTTCAACCCACTTGTATTTCTTTAACATATAAAACACACTATAGGCAAGGCACGGTGGCTCACGCCTGTAGTCCTAGCACTTTGAAAGGCCAAGGTGGGCAAATCATTTGAGTCCAGGAGTTTGAGACCAGCCTGGCCAACGTGGTGAAACCCTGTTTCTACTAAAAATACAAAAATTAGCCGATGTGGTAGTACACACCTATAATCCCAGCTACTCTGGAAGGCTGAGGGAGGAGAATCGCTTGAACTTGGTAGGCAGAGGTTGCGATGAGCCAAGATCGTGCCACTGCACTCCAGCCGGGAAAGGCGTGAGCCACTGCGCCTGGCCAGCTGGTTTCAAACTCCTGACCTCAAGTGATCCACCCATCTCAGCCTCCCAAAGTGCTAGGATTACAGGCGTGAGCTACCACGCCCGGCCAGCAGCAACTTTTAAACATTTTTTGGACCATCACTTGAGGTCAGGAGTTCAAGACCAGCCTGACCAACATGGTGAAACCCTGTCTCTATTAAGAATACAAAATTACGGTGTCTCATGCCTGTAATTCCAGCACTTTGGGAGGCTGAGGTGGGCGGATCATGAGGTCAGGAGATCGAGACCATCCTGGCTAACATGGTGAAACCATGTCTCTACTAAAAATACAAAAAACAAAATTAGCCGGGTGTGGTGGCGGGCGCCTGTAGTCCCAGCTATTCGGGAGGCTGAGGCAGGAGAATGGCGTGAACCCGGGAGGCAGAGCTTGCAGTGAGCTGAGATCGGGCCACTGCACTCCAGCCTGGGTGACAGAGCAAGACTCCGTCTCAACAAAAACAAAAACAAAAACAGAAAAAAAAAAAGAAAAAGAATACAAAATTAGGCCAGGTGCGGTGGCTCACGCCTATAATCCCAGCACTTTGAGGCCGAGATGGGCGGATCATGAGGTCAAGAGATTAAAACCATCCTGGCCAAAATGGTGAAACCCTGTCTCTACTAAAAATACAAAAATTAGCTGGGTGTGGCGGCACACTCCTGTAGTCCCTGCTACTCGGGAGGCTGAGGCAGGAGAATCCCTTGAACCCAGGAGGCTGAAGTTGCAGTGAACCCAGATCGCGGCACTGCACTCCAGCCTGGGTGACAGAGCCAGACTCCATCAAAACAAAACAAAACAAAAAAACCTACAGTTATTTGTCAAGCAAATAATATACCCCCAAAAAAAGAACAGCTCTTTGTGAAGCGAATAATGTATCAAAATTTTACTGTTTACTATATGCCAATGATGAAATTATTGCTTTTCAGCTCAAAATCTGCCCTGCAGTACCTGCTCTGTGATAACGGAATCCTAGGCCCTTTAAGCATTTCTCTTTTGCAGTGAGTATGATGCTAAACTTTGTCACAAGGTGTTGGAGGAACAATGCAGGTGGAAGGGAGCTTCTCTTTCCGGTTTGGTGAGCTTTTTTTCTTGCTCCTGCACCATGGGCCATCAGTGATTAATATATGTTGGGGTGTCTTGGGGCTTCTCTGCCCTAGTGGTGCGGCCAGGACATGTAGTCCCTCAGTGACTTTGCAGCCTTAGCTTGGCGACCACTTTGCTGCAGGCTTCCCAACACGCATAGGGCACTCCAGGCCTTATGCCCTCAGTGGTAACCTGACTTCCTGATGGTCATTTCCTGTCACTCTCCTGAAGCAAAAACCACATGCTCCAGGCCTTGCATCACAGCAGTGCCCTACCTCCGTCTGCAGCAGCCTTATCTTGTCTATGCTTGAGAAGGTGGTTGTTATTTCCTGCTTGCCCAGCTCTGGCCTCTGCAACCCACCCATCCAATGGGCTGCAACCTCACCTTCTCCAACCAAGTCTCAACTCCAACCTTGAGGGAGGTGGTGTCCCTTCCAAGTTTGCCCTTCCTAGGGTACTCTCCCTTAACCCGAGTGTACCCTTCAGGATTCTCTTTACATTTAAGGTTACTCCCTGTCATAGTTTAATGTTTTATAATAAACTTCCCCTGTCTAAAATACTGTGTGATTTCTGTCTCCTGATTGGACTTGAACCAATACGTAATACTAAGGTAAAAATCCTAAGAGCTAAATTAGGTTGCTACTAAATATGTTAGACCAGTGGTCTTTAGTGTACCTAAAAACTTTCCACAGAGTACACGAGAACCCGGCTGTAGGAGAATCAACCACTCAATCTTTAATTTCTATTTTTTCTTTATTATTATAATTTTTTTTTTTTTTAGATGGGGTCTTGCTCTATTGCCCAGGCTGGAGAGCAGTGGTGCGATCTCGGCTCACTGCAACCACCGCCTTTTGGGTTCAAGCGATTCTCCGGCCTCAGCCTCCCCAGTAGCTGGGATTACAGGTGTACGCCACCACACCCAGCTAATTTTGTATTTTTAATAGAGATGGGGTTTCACCATGTTAGCCATGCTGGTCTCGAACTTCTGACCTCACAATCCACCCACCTCAGCCTCCCAAAGTGCTGGGATTACAGGCATGAGCCAACGCGCCTCGCCTTATTATTAATTTTTGTAGAAATGTGGTCTCACCATGTTGCCCGGGCTACTCTTAACCTCCTGGGCTCAAGTGATCCTCCCACCTTGGCCTCCCAAAGTGTCGGGATTATAGGTGTGAACTACCATACCCAGCTCAATCTCTAATTTCTAAAAGTGATACATCTAAGAAGTGTCCTGAATTGCTCTTGCAGGTCTCTCTGTTCCCACAAATTCTCTCAGAACAGCTCCTACCCATCCTGAATTCTTCTTTGATACATCAATCAAAACACTCATTTTGCTAAGCCCTTTCCAGTGATTAATGAAATCACCATAAACTTGTCTTGGGCTTTTCTTTTCCTTTACTACACATTATTCAGTTAAGAGAGAAGAGTGCCTTTAGAGATTGGGTATTAGGGGCTGAGCACGGTGGCTCATGCCTGTAATCCCAGCACTTTGGGAGGCCAAGGCGGGCAGATCACATGAGGTCAGGAGTTTGAGACCAGCTTGGCCAACATGGTGAAACCCTGTCTCTACTAAAAATACAAAAATTAGCTGGGTGTGGTGGCGTGTGCCTGTGATACCAGCTACGCGGGGGGCTGAGGCAGGAGAATCGCCTGTACCTGGAAGGCAGAGGTTGCCATGAGCCGAGATCATGCCATTGCACTTCAGACTGGGCAACAAGGGTGAAACTCCTTCTCAAAAAACAAACAAACAAACAAACAAACAAACAAAAAATTAGCCAGGCATGGTGGCAGGTGCCTGTAATCCCAGCTACTCGGGAGGCTGAGCCACGAGAATCACTGGAACCCAGGAGGTGGAGGTTGCAGTGAGCCAAAACTGCACCACTGCACTCCAGCCTGGGTGGCACAGTGATACTCTGTCTCAAAAAAAAAAAAAAAAAAAAAGAAATTGGGTATTTGGGCAATTGGACAATTGATTTCAGGTATCTCATGGAAAGGAGTTGTCAGAGTGACTTTGCCTCGTTCACCTTGATTATCATCAAATAATGTCTACTTAAGAAAAAAACCTTACTTAGGAAAGAGAGCTTCAAACACTAAAAATAGCTTGTTCGTGTATTTAATTATATACAATATTTTTTCTAGCTATTCTCACTTCTCATTAACAATATGTCATCACTTAGAAAAGTTCCACTCAACATATACATGGGATCGGCACGATGGCTGACACCAGTAATTTGGGCACTTTGGGAGGTGGAGGTGGCCAGATCACTTGAGCCTGGGAGTTCAAGACCAGCCTGGGGAACATGGCAAAATCCCATCTCTACTAGAAATACAAAAATTAGCTGGGCATGGTAGCACATGCCTGTAGTCCCAGCTACTCATGAGGCTGAGATAGGAGGATCACCTGAGCCCAGGAAGTTGAAGTTGAAGCTGCAGTGAGCCATGATCATGCGTCTACACTCCAGCCTGAGCGAGACCTTGTCACAAAACAAACAAACTGTAACTATATATATATCAAGATGTTTACTGGGACTACCAAACACTTGAAGTGTACAAAACCCACAGAAAAAATTTAAGTAATTTCCTTTGGTTAAGGCATGAACTTTTATCAATTCATATAATGAAATATTTAATTCAAGTAGTCAGTCCCTTCTGATCTGATCCTATAAGATGTTGTAATTCTTTTTTTTTTTTGAGATGGAGTGGCTCAATCATGGCTCACTGCAACCTCCACCTCCCGGGTTCAAGCGATTCTCCTGCCTTAGCCTCATGAGTAGCTGGGATGACAGGTGCCTGCCACCATGCCTAGCTAATTTTTGTATTTTTAGTAGAGACAGGTTTTCACTATGTTGGCCAGGCTGGTCTTGAACTCCTGACCTCAGTTGATATACCCGCCTTGGCCTCCCAATGTGCTGTGATTACAGGCATGAGCTACCATGCCCGGCCAGATGTTATAACTTCTATCCCCATTAACAATACCAAAAAGTACGTGATAAACTGCCCTGCCAATTGGTTTGTCCAATATACTTTTCTCTTATATTAAATATGAAAGCAGGCTGGGCTTGGTGGCTCACTCCAGCCTGGGCAACAACTACATCTCAAAACTACATCTCAAAACAATGAGTTTTTTTTTTATGTAGAGCAAAACTACATCTCAAAAAAAAAAAAGAAAGCAATCATTGAGACTTATATAAATCAATAGATTTAGTTCTGATTTTTACAATAATTCTGAATCATTCTTAAAAGTCTAATACTAAAGTGGCTGGGCACGGTGGGTCACGCCTGTAATCCCAGCACTTTGGGAGGCCGAGGTGGGCGGATCACGGGGTCAGGAGATCAAGACCATCCTGGCTAACATGGTGAAACCCCATCTCTACTAAAAAAATACAAAAAATTAGCCGGGCGTACTGGCGGGCGCCTGTAGTCCCAGCTACTCGGGAGGCTGAGGGAGGAGAATGGCGTGAACCTGGGAGGCGGAGCTTGCAGTGAGCCGAGATCGTGCCACTGCACTCTAGCCTGGGCAACAGAGCGAGACTGTGTAAAAAAAAAAAAGTCTAATACCAGAGTTTAATTCATGTATGCATACACATTTAGTAAAGCAGTATCATGCTTTCTACCATACTCCTCACTTCAAAACATACAATGCTTTATTATAAATTTAGAACTGAGAAATAATATTTTCTTTTTTTGAGACCCAGCCCAGGCTGGAGTGCAGTGCCGCGACCTCGGCTCACTGTAACCTCCGCCTCCCGGGTTCAAGCGACTCTCCTGCCTCAGCCTCCCGAGTAGCTGGGATTACAGGCGTGTGCCACTACCGCCTGGCTAAGTTTTGTATTTTTAGTAGAGACAGGGTTTCACCATGTTGGCCAGGCTGGTCTCAAACTTTTGACCTCAAATGATCCACCCACCTCAGCCTCCCAAAGTGCTTGGATTACAGGCGTGAGCCACTGCTCCTGGCCTCATGTTGTTTTAGTAATGCACAGGTTGGCACTATTGGGTTATTAAGAACATCCATAACTGAAAATCCAAAATCTGAAATGCTCCAACATCTGAAACTTTCTGAGTGCCAACATGATGCTCAAAGGTTATGTTCAAAGGGAATGCTCATTGGAGCATTTGGGATTTTCAGATGAGGGATGCTGGTAAGTATAATGCAAATATTCCAAAATCTGAAAAAATCTGAAGTCTGAAACATTTTTGGTCCCAAGAATTTGGAGAAGAGATAGTCAACCTGCATTATTAAAATGGATAAATGATGACTTTAAGACTTTTAGAAATATACCTCACAATTTGTACTCCATAATTTATTTCTCAGTGTTTTATATCATTTTCCTGAAAGGATAAATTAACATATTTACTTGAATTGGAAAACAGAAAAGTCAGGAAGAATGATTTGCTTGATGGGCTTAAATAAAAGATTGCTTCCACCAATTAAATTATATGCCCAGGCTTTTCCATAAACTTAATGTACTAAAATCTGCAGCTTCAAGGGTTTTTTTTTTTTGACAAAAGTACATTTGATTAATAGCATTTTTATCAAAAGACATCCTAGGTTTAGGCAAAGATTTATTAAAAATTTTATTTTTCTCAACCCCCTTTCTGTATATTGGAATGAATAAGGTACCTCTAAGGGAAAGAGGATCTGGCATTTGACATTTGCCGGACCCTTCTCGGTCTGCGCCAGACACTGAGACAGTAACTGCCACTAATGCCTGGGCAACAGAACCTTTGTGACTGAGTGCTTTTCAATCTTTTGTTTTCCTTAAATATAATGCTAGATCACTCTATGATTTTTTGGCATATAACTTGAAAGAAGTGGAAATAATTGAATGACTTTACTATATTAAAACTCTTTCCTCTCCCAACTACTTATTTATGTAAACAAGGTTCTTCAGACATATAAATGCAAGAGAGAATAGAACTGATAATGAATCCTATTTCATTCGAGTAATAAATACTACCCGATCTCGGATATCTGAAATATTTTTAAAATTTCTCTTGAAAAGACATACAATAGATCAACAAAAGAAACATAAGACAAAAATACAACGTATTAAGATAAAGATTATGGTACAGAAGTGGAACATCAATCATGACCCTAACAAATGATTATTTTATTCGTGTTGTGTGAAGCACTATAACGGAGGTAGTACACATTCTTTTCTCAATTAGACTGTACAGAAATCTTTTTTTTTGAGACGGAGTTTCATTCTTGTTGCCCAGGCTGGAGTGCAATGGCACGATCTCGGCTCACCGCAACCTCCGCCTCCTGGGTTCAAGCGATTCTCCTGCCTCAGCCTACCAAGTAGCTGGGATTACTGGCGTGTGCCACCATGCCCAGCTTATTTTGCAGTTTTAGTAGAGACGGGGTTTCTCCATGTTGGTCAGGCTGGTCTCAAACTCCTGACCTTGTGATCCACCCGCCTTGGCCTCCCAAAGTGCTGGGATTACAGGCGTGAGCCACCGCGCCTGGCCCTGTATAGAAAGCTTAAGTGTTGGGAATTCTTATTCATATTTTACAGGGAAGCTCCTGAGAGACCACTGTCAGGCTTCCATTTGCTGATAAGAAATGGAGAAGCAAAATCGATCAGAAGAAAATATAAGTTTGGCGATTTTTTTTTTTTTTGAGACGGAGTTTTGCTCTTGTTGCCTAGGCTGGAGTGCAATGGTGCGATCTCGGCTCACCACAACCTCCACCTCCCAGGCTCAAGCGAATCTCCTGCCTCAGCCTTCCCAAGTAGCTGGGATTATAGGCATGCGCCACCAAGCCCGGCTAATTTTGTATTTTTAGTAGAGATGGGGTTTCTCCGTGTGGGTCAGGCTGGTCTCGAACTCCCGACCTCAGGTGATCTCCCCACCTCGGCCTCCCAAAGTGCTGGGGTTACAGGTGTGAGCCACTGCACCCGGCTTGGAGATCTTTTTTAAGAAAAACTAAACTTAGGACTTTTAGGTCCTTTTCCAGTTTAGTGCACAGAGTATTTAGGAGCTTGAGCTCTGGGGTTGGGTAAATCCTGTGACACACAGAAATCACATGTGCCAGCATCAATGCTACGACCTAACACAGGTTCATTTGGAGGGTTTACTAAGATTATGTAGGCAATGTATTAAAATGTCCTTGCTTATAAATATCTAGCGACATTACTAATTAATTCTTTAGGATAAATTCCTAGAAATGTAATAAATGGCTCAGAGTGTAGGACCATTTAAAGGGCAATTATATTATGACAAACAATTTTCCAAAAAAGTGAACCTAGCTTGTAACAGAGAAGGAGCTCACCTTTTGGGTCGAGGAAGGCCCATGGGGGTAAGATTAGGATCTGGCCTAGGAATGGTTTTCCGGATGCGAATCTGTGAGACTTTCTTTGGCCTCTTCTCTGGCTCAGCCTATTTTTAAGGATTAAGAAGAAAGATGGTCAAGCTGTAAGACATTTTATTTATATATTTTTTGAGACAAGGTCTCACTCTGTGGCCCAGGCTGGTGTGAAGTGGTGCAATCATAGCTCACTGCAGCCTTGAATTCCTGGACTCAAATGATCCTCCTGCCTTGGCCTCCCAAAGCGCTGGGGTTACAAGTATAAGCCACCGTAACTGGGAATTTTTATTTTTAGATGGGGTCTCGCTATATTGCCCAGGCTGGCCAGGAACTCTTGGGCTCAACTGATCCTTTTGCCTCAGCCTCTGCGGTAGCTAGGACTATAGGTGTATGCCACCACCCCTGGCATATTGTAAGATATTTTAAATATATAAAGTCCATCTTGACACTTAAAACATTGCTACCTCACTCTAGAGATGACTCTATTAAGCAGTTTATGACAAAGCTCCCACTTCTATTCCTGCTTTTTTTATTATTTATTTATTTTTTTGATAGAGTTTTGTTCTTGTTGCCCAGGCTTAAATGCAATGGCATGGTCTTGGCTCACCGCAACCTCTGCCTCCCAGGTTCAAGTCATTCTCCTGCCTCAGCCTCCTGAGTAGCTGGAATTACAGGCATGTGCCACCACGCCCGGCTTATTTTGTATTTTAGTAGAAACAGGGTTTCTCCATGTTGGTCAGGCTGGTCTCAAACTCCCAACCTCAGGTGATCCGCCCACCTCGGCCACCCAAAGTGCTAGGATTACAGATGTGAGCCACCGCATCTGGCCTTATTTATTTTTTGAGATGGAGTCTCACTCTGCCGCCCAGGCTGGAGTGTGGTGGTGCAATCCAGGCTCACTGCAACTTCCACCTCCTGGGTTTAAGCGAATCTACTGCCTCGGCCTCCAGAGTACCTGGGATTACAGGAATGTGCCACCACATTTGGCTAATTTTTGTATTTTTAGTAGAGATGGGGTTTCACCATACTGGCCAGGCTGGTCTCGAACTCCTGACCCCGGGTGATCCGCCCGCCCTGGCCTCCCAAAGTGCTGGAATCACAGGCGTGAGCCACCGTGCCCGGCCTTTTATTTTTTTTTTAAGATGGGGTTTCACTCTGTCACTCAGGCTGGAGTGCAGTGATGCAATCTGGGGTCATTGCTGCAAACTCTGCCTCCCGGGCTCAAGCAATTCTCCCTCCTCAGCCTCCCGAGTAACTGGGACTGCAGGTGTGCACCACCACAGTCAGCTCATTTTTGTCTTTTTTGTAGAGACACAGTTTTGCCAGGTTGCCCAGGCTGCTATTGAACTCCTGGACTCAAGCGATCCGCCCGCCTCAGCCTCCCAAAGTGCTGAGATTACAGGCGTGTGCCACCGTGCCTGGCCCCTGCTGTGTTTTAAGCAACTACTCCCTTCATATCATCAAAACAAGAATTGTACATTCAGTTCAGATATTGAGACTGTCAACATGAAAGTTTGCAACTGTTGAAGACAACAGACGTTGCAAAATTGAACATCATCACCATCCACTCATCTTCTTTGAATGCACAAAGCAGCTCTTTCGTCCAATTCTCTAAACACTGTTACATGCTGTTGGCAAGAAAAAAGTATCTGGAAAACAATGCAGATTAAAAAATCCACTGTGTCCTTTACTGGCCAAGAGAAAAACTCCTGGCTTAGTACTCTCCAGAACTCGGCTGACACTGAAGGTGGTACGTAAAGATACTCAGAAGCCAGTCTGTAGCTATAATGCGATGTGAGTTGACAATGGCCACCTCCAATGCCACCATCATCTGACCCAACCAGCACTTTACACTTACCTCTTTCTGTTCTGGGGGGCTGCTCTGTGGGCAGGGGCATGCTGCTTTCACACCATCCAGCTCATCCAATCCACGAACCTGGAACTCAGAGGCTGAAAGCAGGAGCTTGCTGACAGCTGATTCTGCTACCAAGCAAGACTTTGGTACCAAGGCAGGGAATGGAGGCTCCAGCCTAGCACCATGAAGAGAAAGAAGATATGAGAGGGGTTCCCTTTCTACTTCCAGCACATTCAACTTCTTCTTCTTCATTTTTTTTTTTTTTTTTGAGAAGGAGTTTTGCTCTTGTTGCCCAGACTGGAGTGCAATGGTACGATCTCGGCTCAATGCAGCCTCTGCCTCCCGGGTTCAAGCAATTCTCCTGCCTCAGCCCCTCGAGTAGCTGAAATTACAGGCATGCGCCACCACGCCCAGCTAATTCTGTATTTTTAGTAGAGACGGAGTTTCTCCATGTTGGTCAGGATGGTCTTGATCTCCCGACCTTAGGTGATCCACCCGCACCGGCCTCCCAAAGTGCTGGGATTACAGGTGTGAGCCACCACGCCCAGCCTCAACTTCTTAACATCTAGGCCTCAATACTTTTTCTTTCTTTCCAGAGAATAATATATCCAGTCAACCTGCATTCTAGTCACTTCCAGACATAGCCTGTATCTACATATGTAAAAAAATTACAAGAATGTGTAATCCATTTTATTGCTATGGAATTTTATAAGGAAAAATGTAAAAAGGAACAGACTTTTTGGGTGAGGAAGATATCTGGTAAACCGCACAAATGAACAGTACTCAGATAAGATCAATCCTGTCCAGGGACTGAAGTTGGCTGTTAAGACATGAAATAGCTTGAGAGGGGACTTCTGGTACAATAAGCTGGTTAGTGATTTTCACTTTTTTTTTTTTAACAAATTGTATTATTACACATTCCTAGTTGCTGCTTGTAATAGAACAGATTTCAATCTCAGAAATGTTTATCTGAGAGACATAGATCAGGTTTACAAGGACAAGAGGTCAAAGTCATGCCACAGACGATCCACACCACCTATGTATGCACTCTCTCTCTTGCACACACACACGCACACGCGCACACACACGCTGAGTCTCATGTGCTTACCTCGTCTGACTGCCGCTGGTGTTATATGTAGCTTCCATGCCTGGAAGAGGCACATATGGTAACATGGTGTGGCTAAAGTAAAGCAAAAGTACAAAAGCAATAGGTAAGGGCAGTGGGATAACAGGAAAGGTTTTGATGTTATTGTGGGTATTAGCACATGATAGCCCCAAGAAGACAAGAAATGTCAGTTACTCAGAAAGAGGAAAGCTTTCCAACCAGGAGAGTTATATTTATGTGCCCATCACTGGAATGGAGGCAGACTGACAGGAAGATTATTTTCTAACTTGAATGGAAAGAAGGCAGAGACAGAAAGAAAGAACAGTGGCTGGGCAAGGTGGCTGATGCCTATAATCCCAGCACTTTGGGAGGCTGAGGTGGGCAGATCGCTTCAGCCTAGGAGTTCAAGACCAGCTTGGGCAACATGGCGAGACCTTGTTTCCACAAAAAATACAAAAATTTAGCCAGGGGTGGTGGAGTGCACCTGTGGTCTCAGCTACTCAAGAGGCTGGGGTGAGAAGACTGCTTGAGCCCGGAAGATCAAGACTGAAGTAAGCCAAGACTGCACCACTGCACTTCAGCCTGAGTATCAGGGCAAGACCCCATCTCTAAATAAAAATAAATTTTAAAAAATTTAAAGAATATATTATACCACTCAGTTGTGTACTGACTAATAAAATCTGACAGTTTCTATAACCTTATAAAATATTAGAGAGAAACCAATTATTTTTTCTTTTTTTGAGACTGAGTCTTGTTCCGTTGCCCAGGCTGGAGTGCAATGGTGTGATCTCGGCTCACTGCAACCTCCACTTCCCGGGTTCAAGAGATTCTTCTGCCTCAGCCTCCCAAGTAGCTGGGACTATAGGCGCGTGCCATCATGCCCGGGTAATTTTTGTATTTTTAGTAGAGATGGGGTTTCACCATATTGGCCAGGCTGGTCTCAAACTCCTGGCCTTGTGATCCGCCCACCTTAAATTCCCAAAGTGCTGGCATTACAGGCATGAGCCACCGCGCCTGGCCCAATTATTTTCTTTAAAGCCAAGTTACACATAAAACATAGCTATACAGCCGGGCACAGTGGCTCACACCTGTAATCCCAGCACTTTGGGAGGCTGAGGTGGGCAGATCACTTGAGGCCAGGAGTTCGAGACCAGCCTGGTCAACATGGCAAAACCCCATCTCTACTAAAAATACAAAAAATTAGCTGGGTGTGGTGGTGGGTACTTGTAATCCCAGCTACTCAGGAGGCTGAGACAGGAGAATCGCTTGAACCCGGGAGGAGGAGATTGTAGTAAGCTGAGATTATACCACTGCACTCCAGCCTGGGCGACAGAGGGAGACTCTGTCTCAAAAACCAAACTAAACAAAACAACATAGCTATATAGAAGAAAATTAATGGCCAATCGTAGTGACTCACACCTGTAATCCCAGCACTTTGGGGAGGCTGAGGCGGGTGGATCACCTGAGGTGAGGAATTCAAGACCAGCCTGGCCAACACGATGAAACCCTGTCTCTACAAAAATACAAAAACTAGCTAGGCATGATGGCACATGCCTGCAATCCCAGCTACTTGGGAGGGTGAGGCAGGAGAATTGCTTGAACCCGGGAGGGTGAGGCAGGAGAACTGCTTGAACCCAGGAGGCAGAGGCTGCAGTGAGCCGAGATCACACCACTGCACTCCAGCCTGGGCGACAGAGCAAGACTCTATCTCACAAAAAAAAAAAAAAAAAAGGAGAAAACTATTAAAAGTTTAATTCCTTTATAATTAAACTCTTCCTTTTTCTTTTTTTTGAGACGGAGTCTCACTTTGTCACCCAGGCTGGAGTGCAGTGGCGCGATCTCATCTCACTGCAACCTCTACCTTGTGGGTTCAAGGAATTCTCCTGCCTCAGCCTCCGAGTAGCTGGGACTACAGCCACCTGCCAGGATGCCGGGTTAATTTTTGTATTCTTAGTAGACACGGGGTTTCACCATATTGGCCAGGCTGGTCTCGAACTCCTGACCTTGTGGTCTGCCTACCTCAGTCTCCCAAAGTGTTGGGATTATAGGCATGAGCCACAGTGCCCGGCCTGCTAGAAACCATTTGTAAGCTTGTTTAGAAAAACAGCAAACTTCTGGCCAGGCATGGTGGCTCGCGCCTATAATTCCAGTACTCTGGGAGGCTGAGGTGGGTGGATCACCTGAGGTCAAGAGTTTGAGACCAGCCTGGCCAACCTGGTGAAATCCTGTCTCTACTAAAAATACAAAATTAGCCAGGCGTGGTGGTACATGCCTGTAATCCCAGCTATTCAGGAGGCTGAGGCAGGAGAATCGCTTGAACCCGGGAGGTGGAGGTTGCAGTGAGCTGAGATCGCGCCACTGCACTCCAGCTTGGGAGACAAGAGTGAAACTCTGTCTCAAAAAAAAAAGAAGAAAGAAAAGAAAAACAGCAAACTTCTAAACTCTAAGCCCAGGCACATGATGTTAAGGTATTTTTAGAGCCAATGAAAAGTATCTACAAATACCACCCCCTCTACCTTCCATTTGAATTTAAATAAAGTAAAATAAAATAAAAAGCTAGAAATAGGGAGGGAAACAGAAAATTTTCAACACCAGGAAACAGAAACATGAGGTGGGAAAGAAAGAGCTCTCGAAGACGAAAAGGGGCAAAAGGGTTACACCTCCACAGGGTGAAATGAGTAACTACCATCTATCCTAACCTCAGGAACAAACAGTTTGGAGGAAGTGGCACAACCTATTTTTTTTGGGAGACGGAGACTCGCTCTGTCGCCCAGGCTGGAGTGCAGTGGCGTGATCTCGGCTCACTGCAACCTCCACTTCCCAGGTTCAAGCGATTCTCCTGCCTCAGCCTCCCGAGTAGCTGGGACTATAGGCATGTGCCACTAAGCCCAGCTAATTTTTGTATTTTTATTTTTAGTAGAGATGGCGTTTCACCATGTTAGCCAGGATGGTCTCAATTTCCTGACCTTGTGATCCACCTGACTCAGCCTCCTAAAGTGCTGGGATTACAGGCGTGAGCCACTGCACCTGGCCGGAAGTAACACAATTTAAAGCTGTGTGCCCTAAACACATAGCAGAGCAATTATGAGATTTTAGAGGCATATCAACAAAGTAGACAATAAAAGCAGTACACCAGCATTTAAAACAATGTGAATCACTCTAACGTATTTTCATGGCTGTCTTTATAATAAGAGAACTTTTAAAAATAACTCTAAAGGCCGGGCGCGGTGGCTTACGCCAGTAATCCCAGCACTTTAGGAGGCTGGGGCAGGCAGATCACCTGAGGTCAGGAGTTCAAGGCCAGCCTGACCAACATGCAGAAATCCCATCTCTACTAAAAATACAAAATTAGCTGGATGTGGTGGTGCATGCCTGCAATCCCAGCTACTCAGGAGGCTGGAGTGGGAGAATCGCTTGAACCTGGGAGGCAGAGGTTGCGGTGAGCTGAGATTGCACCACTGCACTCCAGCCTGGGCAACAAGAGTGAAACTCCATCTCAGGAAAAAAAAACAACAAAAACAAAAACTGTAGGACATGTACTTGTAACAGCAATTCATCTTTCAATTCTAGTCAGCAATGTTCATGTTCTGGGTTTTTTTTCTGACACTCTTCTATTCATTCAGTTTTCTGCTAAGATGCTCAGGGAACTACACAATACAAACCAGCAGGTTTGTTGTTTATTTATTTATTTTTGAGACAGAGTCTCACTCTGTCGCCCAGGCTGGAGTGCAGTGGTGCGATCTTGGCTCACCCTAACCTCTGCCTCCTGGGTTCAAGCAATTCTCCTGCCTCAGCCTCCTGAGTAGCTGGGATTACAAGCATGAACCACCATACCCAGCTAATTTTCCTGTTTTTAGTAGAGACGAGGTTTCACCATGTTGGCTAGGCTGGTCCTGAATTCCTGACCTCAGATGATTCGCCCGCCTTGGCCTCCCAAAGCGCTGGGAATACAGGCATGAGCCACCATGCCTGGCCACCAGCAGTCTTGTTGCTGTTGAAATTTTCTTGAGACAGAGTCTCACTTTGCCGTCCAGGCTGGAATATAGTGGCACGATCTCGGCTCAGTGCAACCTCTGCTGATTCTTGTGCCTCAGCCTCTGAGTAGCTGGGATTATGGGCATGCACCACTACATCTGGCTAATTTTTGTATTTTTAGTAGAGATGGGATTTATTTTTTTATTTTTTATTTTTTGAGACGGAGTTTCACTCTTGTTGCCTAGGCTGGAGTGCAATGGTGCAATCTCGGCTCAGCACAACCTCCAACTCCTGGGTTTAAGTGATTCTCCTGCCTCAGCCTCCCGAGTAACTGGGATTACAGGTGTGCACCACACCCGGCTAATTTTGTATTTTTAGTAGAGATGGGGTTTCTCCACGTTGGTCAGGCTGGTCTCGAACTCCTGACCTCAGCTGATCTGCCCGCCTTGGCCTCCCAAAGTGCTGGGATTTTAGGCATGAGCCACTGTGCCCAGCTGACATGGGATTTATTTCTCTAGGTTGCCCAGGCTGGTCTTGAACTCCTGGCCTCAAGTGACCCACCTGCCTTGGCCTCCCAAAGTGCTGGGATTACAAGCATGCGCCACCACACCTGGCCTATTTGTTGTTGTTTTTTTTTTTTTTTGGAGACAGAATCCCGCTCTGTTGCCCAGGCTAGAGTGCGATGGCACGATCTTGGCTCACTGCAACCCCGGCCTCCCAGGTTCAAGGGATCCTCCTGACTCAGCCTCTGAGTAGCTGGAATTACAGGCATAAGCCACTACACCCAGCTAAAATTTTTTTGTATTTGTAGTAGAGAGAGGGCTTCACCACGTCGGTCAGGCCCGCCTCGGCCTCCCAAAGTGCTGGGATTACACACGTGAGCTACTGCACCCAGACGCCTGTGGGGTTTTTTTTTTTTTTTTTTTTTTTTTTGAGACGGAGTCTTGCTCTGTTGACAGGCTGGAGTGCAGTGGCACGATCTCGGGTCACTGCAACCTCTGCCTCCTGGATTCAAGCGATTCTCCTGCCTCAGCTTCCCAAGTAGCTGGGACTACAGGTGTGTGCCACCATGCCCAGCTAATTTTTGTATTTTTAGTAGGGACAGGGTTTCCCCATGTTGGCCAGGCTGGTCTCGAACTCCTGACCTCAGGTGATCTGCCGGCCGCAGCCTCCCAAAGTGCTAGGATTACAGGCACGAGCCACGGTGCCCAGCTTCCAGGATGGTCTCGATCTCTTGACCTCGTGATCTGCCTGCCTCAGCCTCCCAAAGTGCTGGGACTACAGGCATGAGCCACCGTAGCCAGCCTGTTGTTTTTTTAATTAAACATTTTGGAGACAGGGTCTAGCTCTGTTGCCTAGGCTAGAGTGTAGTGGTGTGATCCTGGCTCACTGCAACCTCTGCCTCCTGGGTTCAAGCAATCTTCCCATCTCAGCCTTTTGAGTAGCTGGGACTACAGGCATACACCACTATGCCTGACTAATTTTTGTATTTTTTAGCAGAGACAACGTTATGCCATGTTTCCCAGGCTGGTCTCAAACTCCTGGACTAAAGAGATCCACCTGCCTTGGCCTCCCGAAGTGCTAGGCTTACAGGCATGAGCCACTGCGTCCCGCCTGAACCAGTCCACTTTACTGACACACAATGATTCTACATTAGAGACACACAATGAACAAGGCCCTCCTAAGCTATTTGGAATATTAAGGCTTTTTATTTGATGTCTAATTTGTCAAATACAGCAATAGTAAGGGCAAATTAAAAAATATTTTGTTTACTTAAATAATTACAAAGAGGAGAGTTTATCTATCATGTGTATAGCAGCTCTTTAGGGATTCTTTTTTTTTTTGAGACAGAGTCTCACTCTGTCGCCCAGGCTGGAGTGCCGTGGCGTGATCTCGGCTCACTGCAAGTTCTGCCTCCCGGGTTCATGCCATTCTCCTGCCTCAGCCTCCCGAGTAGCTGGGACTACAGGCACCCGCCACTATGCCCGGCTAATTTTTTTTGTATTTTTAGTAGAAACGGGGTTTCACGGTGTTAGCCAGGATGGTCTCGATCTCCTGACCTCGTGATCCACCTGTCTCGGCCTCCCAAAGCGCTGGGATTATAGGTGTAAGCCACCATACCTGGCCACTCTTTAGGGATTCTTGAGATGAGTAGTTTAACTCTCAAATTCTTTTTCTTCTCTTATTTTCAATTAGAAGGTACAATGATATTGACGAAATTATTTCCAACTATTCTCAGTGATCACACCCCAAGAACTCCTTCCCAGTTCACTTTAAGTTCTATAAACCCTAAAGCTGAAGTATGTAAATGCCAATTTTTGAAGCCTCTACATTGCCAAAAGGCAGGGGTTCATAAACCATATCTGGTGATACCTGTGTAATTTATTCATTAACTAAAAATATATTTATTCTGTGTTCTCTACATATCAGAGTTAGGTGCTGGCTGTTTAGTGCTTTGTGAAGGAGATAATGTTACAAGCGATTGTGTGTTACTATTTATAGTTTTTCACTTGTAATGGGTGTTTGTTTTCTGCAAGATGGGCGCAAGAGTAGAAAAGAAGATTCAGCTGGGTGTGGTGGCTACCGCCTGTAATCTCAGCAATTTGGGAGCCAAGGTGAGAGGATCACCGGACGCCAGGAGTTCAAGACCAGCCTGGCCAACATGGTGAAACCGTCTCTACTAAAAATACAAAAATTAGCCAGGCATGGTGACACGTGCCTGTAATCCCAGCTACTCGGGAGGCTAAGGCAGGAGAACCGCTTGAATCCGGGAGGCAGAAGTTGTGGTCAGCCGAGATTGCGCCACTGCATTCCAGCGTGGGTGACAAGAATGAGACTGTTTCAAAAAATAAATAAATAAACAAATAAATAAAAGCAGCCTGGTTGGCTTATGCATGCAATCCTAGCACTTTGGGAGGCCGAGGCAGGTGGATCACCTGAGGTCAGGAGTTCAAGACCAGCCTGACCAACATGGAGAAACCCCCGTCTCTACTAAAAAATACAAAAACTTAGCCGGGTGTGGTGGCGCATGCCTGTAATCCCAGCTACTCAGGAGGCTGAAGGAGGAGAATCGCTTGAACCCGGGAGGCGGAGGTTGCGGTAAGCCGACATTGCACCACTGCACTCCAGCCTGGGCAAGAAGAGTTAATCAAAAAAAAAAAAAAAAAAAAAAAAGAAGATTCAACAGATTTGATGGTTTGAAGAATGAAATGGACAGAAAAAAGAATGGTGTGAAATACAGAAGTAGGTTCTACAGGAAAACTGAGCAGGGGGTGGGGGTCCTATGCTTAAGAATTACTATTGGATTTTTCTCAGCAGAGATTTCGCAAGGTAAATAGAAAATGCAGACCCAAGAGGACTCTAAATAGCCTTGCATTTCCCGCAGTTCCCCTCTCATCTCCCCAGAGACAGGAAGCAAATATGGGACATTTGTAAAGAACAGGGGACAGATTTTACCTGCTTGTGGTGCCCAGACTTGGTTGCCGCTTGCAGTGAGGGGAATGAAGAGAAGAGATTTCGAAGGAGCAGACAGAAGGACCATGCTGGCTCCAAATGGATAGGACTCTGCCCACCGAGTAGGGCAGAGAACAGAAGACCTTGTCTGCTATGGAGGCTGGAGACCGTAACCCTTTCAGGCCCTGTGTAAACTGGGTCATGAAGAGCCTCTGCATGGTAGGCATGTGGCTGGAGAAGCTCCGTTTTTTTGTCCAGATTCGGTAACATCCTGGGGAACAAAGTGCTAGAAGTGTGTGAAGGCCAAGGACAGAGCAGTCTGCTCTGGTCT
This sequence comes from Homo sapiens, assembly GCF_000001405.40. Taxonomy (NCBI): domain Eukaryota; kingdom Metazoa; phylum Chordata; class Mammalia; order Primates; family Hominidae; genus Homo; species Homo sapiens. Next base: position 31,712,411 of record NC_000022.11, read on the forward strand.
GGACTATGGCAGTGCCTCCATAGTCTTGGAGAGGAGCTGGAGGCTGGGGAGGAGCCTGAGTGTGGGTCTGACTATGGACGCCAGTGTCTTCCCTGAATGTTGCCATCCCAGGGCAACCGTGGGACAAGAAGAAAGAAAAGGTCCACTTGGGAGGTTGAGACGGGCACTGGAGGGCCTCTCCTAAGGCAAGCCTTGCCGGAGCACAGTGCTCAGGAAAAGTCCTTGAGGACTCAGTCGTGCAATCTGAGCTGGATGATTTCACATGAAAGGATACTGGGAAGATTTCAGAACCAAACAGCAGGGACGGCATCTTGTTGCTCAAATCTATGAAGGTCATCTTGATGGATTCGAGAGAATAAAGTGCCATGGGCTTACTGTTAGGCCTCTTATCCCATCCACTAGCTGCCAAATATGGATTCAGCTGCTCTGTGCTGGATGAAAATCCGTCCAGGAGTCTTTTATATCTGAGGCGCTTGTAGCTTTTAGCCATTGGAAGAAGTTCAGAGGAACACCGTCGGTATCTTAGCTTCTGAGTCTTCATGGCTGGGGCCAGTTTGGAGGCAAGGATGGACAGCTTGTTTAGTAAGGCTGATTCTTTGGTAGTCTTCCTAAAATTCAGGCTCCTCAAGGGATGGCACGGTGTAGACATCTGCTTTGGTATGTGACTAACCAAGCTCTTGGTAGGTGCTGTTTCAGGTTCTAATCGTGTAGGTGCAGACAGAGTACACAAACTGAGAAGTCTGTGCGCTTTTGTGGGGATGGGATTGGAAGAACTCTTTAAAAAGGCAGAACTTCTGATTTTACCTATTTTTCTCCCAACAATGATTTGCTCCTGATAGGAAACTTTCTTACAAGTTCGATGGGGCTGCTTCTTTAAGGGAAGAACTCCTTTCTTCGCAAAGGCACCATGTATTTGATCACACCCAGCAGAGGAGGGGTCTTGTGCTTTCCGAGGGGCACCAAGAAGGCAAGGACTTGTGCATGACTCAGTGTCCTTCCTTAATGGATGATGTAACCTTTCCTCCTTCTGGTCTTCTAACTTCTGAGTCTGTGCCACAATGCTGTCCTTGGCCAGCTTTGCTAGGGTGATTTCATTGATCATGGTGGACTCATCTTTGTCAGCCTTCGGTTGGTTCTGATTTTGTGCATCATCTAACAACAGACTAGATGATATGCACTGTTGCGATATCGTATGTGCTTTTTGTTGACGTATATATTTCTCTTCTTTCTGCAACATGTAGTCCAAAACCTCAGGGCTCTGCTGTTTTTCAGCATGATTAAGTATCCCCCGGCATTTAAAATGGGTCTGAGAGATGTTGCTCACGGGATCGCCATCGCCAGTTTCTCTGGTAACCAACTCCTCAGATTGCTCCCCAACAGTTAAGTAACCCAGTCGTCCCCTCTGATGCTCTTCGGTTTCTTCTCCTTTCACTTTAATATCTGTTTTCACTGTCAAAGGCAAATGTCTGTCAGAGGAATTCTCGTGAGGGTGACAAGCTTTGCAAGCATTCTTTTCCACACAGGTACATACGCTGTCTCTGTCACTAGAATTACTCCAATCTCTTGATACTATTTCCTTCATCTCAGGAAGGACTGTGCAGTCCTTTACATTTTCACAAAGCATTTCACCATCTTTTGGTTTACAAAGATTTTTCAGGTCAGTTTCTTCACTGTTAACATTAGTTTCTGAATTTTCTTGAGAAGGCATTATTTCAATGGATTTCAGGCTTCTTAGGGAAACAGAGCTTTCATCATGGCAAGACATCGACTCTTTTGAGGAAATTCCAAAGGTACTTTCTTTGCCAAACTCAGAGTTTGGTTCTAGTCTTGATCCTTCAGTCATTTCTTGTGTTTCTCTGAGAGATGTTCCTTTATCTTGCTGTCCATAATGGCTATCATTTAAAGACAAATTTACTCTGCCCAATATTCTTTTATTTGGTTCATGATCTGCAACAGACTCCATCTCATGGGCACAAGAGTCTGGACACTTTTCCATTTCACAGTCTTTTAAAGATCTGCATACGTTTTCTTCACATGATTTTTTTATTTTGAGAAAGTCCACTGTAGAAGCAGCAGTAACTGGGAAATCTGAATCCTGACCAGTTGTTCCTGTATGTGCAGCATCCAGTTCTCTCCGAGACAAGGTACTCCTGGAGTCCTCTTGAAATGCCAGTTTCTCTTGCCTTGCACCACAATCCAGTAGATTAGATGCCTTCACGTCCAGCACACCTTCTGCAAGCTTATTACTACAGTCCGTGTAGACGATGTCTACCATACCTTCTGTGGACTCATCACAACCAGACATCTTGACAAAGGCTCCTTTCAAATTGCATTTCTTTGGACTACCACAAGGTAGTGAGTTATTACTGCCTGAGCTGACCAGCAGATCCTTTTGGTTGTGGTTTACCTCCCCGTGAGGCTCGGTGACAGTCTCTCTCTGGTCACTACTTAGCATCTCCTTGGCTGACTGACCTTCACTTTTGCATTCATCTGGTCTGTTTTGGTTACTCTGACAGTCAAGGACTTCATCTGCCTTCTGATCGAGTGTTTCAACTGATTTTACATTTTTAAAACTGGAGAACATAACAGTAGGAGACTGGTCCAACACTTTTTCAGGACCTGGAATGTTTACAGTCTGGTTTAGTTCTTGTATAGCATGATCAGAGATGTTATACTTACAAAATACAGTTTCTTTGGATACATCCTGCTCCTTTCCTTCCAGCCCTTCCTCACTGAGTTTGATGCTACTGGAGGTGTGAATGGTTTTGTTTGAAATTCCACTATTTAACAAGCCTGCTACCATTTTGTTTCTGATCTTATCTCCTGGAAGGCTGCCATTCGTTTCTTTCCCATCAAGTTCCCTTTCCTGTGATGTGTAACTCACTTTACAGCTGCTTTTTTCCACAGAGTGTCCTGTTCCTTGGCAGCAGTGATCACGGTGCTGAAATGCATTTTCATATTTTGTTATCAAAGAGTTATCAACTTGCAGGCTGATTTTGCTGGACTTGAAAGCAGCAGAAGCAGAACACATGTTTTCCTGGGATACATTTTTTCTTACACGATGACAGCTAGAGATATCCTGAGATTGAACGCTGTGACATTCTATGACAGAGACCACTTGAGGAAAGCCAGCTGCTTCTCTCTTATTTGAGCGCAGCCTGGAATGTAGAGCTTTTGTTCCTGAATCAGCCATTTCCTTTTTTCTCTCTAGGCTTACTGGTTTGATGTTTAAGGTGGGACAGTTTGAAGAGGCACCACAGGTTTGGTTACCTGGTGGAGAGATGTCTTTTATTTTTGTCTGAATGGGAATGGTTTGTATATCAGCAATGACATCTGCTCTACCCTCTAATGGAGGGTGATGGCTCTGATGGGCATCTCTGCCTGTTGCTAAAGGCATCTCTTTGTTTAAATGCAGTAGAGAGTCAGTTGGCAAATTTGCATGTTCTTGAGAATTAAGGGACACTTGTTGATTTAAAACACATTCACTTTCTACTTTGTTTACAACCAGTTCATTGGTACAAGAAAGTTCATTCATCTCACAGGCTATGCTCTGTTCATCTAAAAGTGGAATATCATCATGTGAGGTCTGTATAACTTTTTCTGACTCAGGTCTGTAATCAAATTCTGGGGATGGTAGCAACAGAGCAGTACCTTGCTTGGGTTTTAATACCTCACTTACAGGACTTATTTGATCCTCTGGCATTAAACTCACAATGGATTTTCTTTCAAACAGAAAATCATTACATGATGCTTCATTTAACTGGGTGTTGCCTTCCAGATTTCTCTGGATGCTGACTAAGGAGTTACAGTCTTTAGTGTAAAAAGATTTACTTAATATATTGGGCTCTACAGGGGTTGTCTGTCCTGCCTCTTCAATCTGCATCAAGGAGGAAAAACTGCTTTCTTCAGAGTGTCCACCAGGATGGCTCATATTAGTAAAAGTTTCTTTATGGTCCTCAGGGTTTGTCAAGTTACCTTGAACGTGTACAGTAATTTTCAAATCATTTTTATTTAACATTACTTCTGTGGCTTCAGTAAAAGAATTGGGCATTAAAGAACTAGAGTTCCCTGTATGGAGACTGTCTTGAATGCAGTTATTGTGGATATTTTCCTTTGGAGAAACAACAGGCTCTTTTTCACCAGAACAACGACCACTAATCTCCTTTTCTGGTTCCCTGGCATTAAAAAGAAAAGGTCCACCTCTTTCACTCCTAGGAATCAAAAGCCGTTCCTCATTTTCTTCTCTAGAAGCCAAGTTCTTCCCTTGATCATCCCCCCTATAAAAATAAGAACTGTCTGTCTTTTCAGCAGATCTCTTTAGCAAACCACCACCTTCAAAACCACAGTTTTCTAAGGATATTGTTCTGGATTCTGGACCAGACAAGTCTGATGTGAAACATGAAACTTCAGAATTTTCTTTCAAAGGGCTTGTGGCTGTGGGACTATCATGTGTAGAACTGGGTTGTTCATTATGGTGGCCATGAAGCTGTTGGTGATTGTCATCTGCTTCACAGACCAGGTTTGGTTTACACAACTCTTCCTTCCCATTGTCCACATTAGAAATGGCACTGTTTCCTGGTAATGACAACCAAGGACAACTTTTTAATTCTTCACATTCTTTTTCTTTAGGAGTTGCTTCTGTTAATACAGGGTCCACAAAGGTTAAAGGTTCTGGGGTAACTAATGTGCTGGTTTCTGAAACCTCATCACTGGTCATGATTTTGTCTACTTCTTGGAATTCACCGCATCCAGCTGAGAGATCTTTACTCACATTGCCATTTTTGTGTCCTTCATTATTATCCGTCTTAGTCCCATTGACCTTCATACCTTGTACTTCGGCGGATTTTAGCAGAGTTTCAGCTGTAATCTGTACATTTCCTTCTGAATAAGAGAAATAAATCCAAATTAATATGCAGTAATAAAAAATCACTTGGTCTACCTTCATGCATTTTATTATGCTATGCTACCAAGGGCAACAGAAGACCCAACTCAAAAAGAAAACTGGAAAGTTAGCATGCTATACCATTGATTTTGTTCTTCTCTGAAAATATAACAGAGGGCCAAAACTATATCTGGCAGAAACGTAATTTTCAACAAATGCCTCTTGCTGAAAGTTTAATACAGAGTTCACAGATCAATGCTGGACAACTGAATACAACATAGAAATATGTTCCTATGTTGTATTCTCATTCAGTCTTAAGAGGCTTTCATTTTAAAACATTAATAAAGCAGACTCACAATAACAGCTTATTTTACTAGATGACCATGTTCTCAGTACTTGAAATTAGATGTCATCGATAAAATTAGTCCTTGGAAAAAAACAACTATACCTAAAACTTTATTTATTTATTTACCTATTTATTTTTTTCAGACAGAGTCTTGCTCTGTTGCCCATGCTGGAGTACAGTAGTGCGATCTCAGTTCACTGCAACCTCCACCTCTCAGCTCAAGCAATTTTCCCGCCTCAGCCTCCTGAGTAGCTGGGATTCTAGGTGCCTGCAACCACCCCCAGCTAATTTTTTTTTTTTTTTTTTGAGATGGAGTCTTGCTCTTGTCGCCCAGGCTGGAGTGCAGTGGCACGATATTGGCTCACTGCAACCTCCACTTCCTGGGTTCAAGCAATTCTCCTGCTTCAGCCTCCTGAGTAGCTGGGATTACAGGCACCCGCCACCATGCCCGCCTAATTTTTGTAGTTTTAGTAGAGACGGAGTTTCACCATGTTGGCCAGGCTGGTCTCGAACTCCTGACCTCAGGTGACCCGCCTGCCTCGGCCTCCCAAAGTGCTGAGACTACAGGCATAAGCCACCACGCCCGGCCCGCCCAGCTAATTTTTTGGGGGGGTTTTTGTTTTTGTTTTTGTTTTGAGACAGAGTCTTGCTTTGTCGCCCAGGCTGGAGTGCAGTGGCGCAATCTCGGCTCACTGCAACCTCCGCCTCCCGGGTTCATGCCATTCTCCTGCCTCAGCCTCCCGAGTAGCTGGGACTACAGACGCCCACCACCACACCTGGCTAATTTCTTTTTGTATTTTTAGTACAGACAGGGTTTCACCATGTTAGGATGGTCTTGATCTCCTGACCTCATGATCCGCCCACCTTGGCCTTCCAAAGTGCTGGGATTACAGGCGTGAGCCACCACGCCCGGCCTGCCCAGCTAATTTTTTTGTATTTTTACTAGAGACGGGGTTTCACCATGTTGGCCAGGCTGGTCTCAAACTCTCGACCTCAGGTGATCTCCTATTAGTTCTGTTCCCCTAAGAGAACCCTGACTAGCACACTATACACATGAACATGGGTATATGTACACATGATTTTATATATATATATAAAAAACAGGACAACTGTATTAAACAGAAAAAGCAAAATGCAAATCTATTTAAAGATCGGCCAGGCATGGTGGCTCATGCCTGTAATCCCAGCATTTTGGGAGGCCGAGGTGGATGGATCACACGAGGTCAGGAGTTCAAGACTAGCCTGGCCAACATGACAAAAACCCATCTCTACCGAAAATACAAAAATTAGCTGGGCATGGTGGCACATGCCTGTAATCCCAGCTACTGGGGAGGCTGAAGCAGGGGAATCGCTTGAATCCAGGAGGCGGAGGTTGCAGTGAGCCAAGATCATGCCACTACACTCTAGCCTGGGTGACAGAGCAAGACTCTGTCTCAAAAAACAAAGAACAAAACAAAACAAAACAAAACAATCTAATTCCTGAGTTTGATGCAGTACCTCACAATGGTGACCCCAGCACTTTGGGAGGCTGAGGCAGAAGGAATGCTTGAGCCCAGAAGTTTGAACCAGCCTGGGCAACACAAGGAGACTCTGTCTCTACAAAAAATTTAAAAGAAAAAAAAAAATCAGCTGAGCATGGTGGTGTGTGCCTTTAATCCCAGCTACTTGGGAGGCTGAGGCAGGAGGATGCTTGAGCCCAGGACGTCAAGGCTGCAATAAGCTGTGATTGCACTACTGCACTCCAGCCTGGGTAACAGAGTAAGCGACCTTGTCTCAAAAAAAAGAAAAAAAAAAAAGAACAAAAAATCTAAAATCTAATTCTTACTAGAATGTAAACTCTGTGAGGGTAAGGATCTTGTTTTGTTCTCTTCCTTATAGTTCAGCATAATGCCTGGTATATAAAAGCACAAGAGCACTTAATAAATATTCACAAAATTAATGAACGAATATAGTTAGGTCAAATAAACAAATGTTATTAATACCAAGTTTCTAGGGCTTCCCTATCCATTTCTCAATAGGTCCTGAGAGCAGCAATTACTGTGAGAAAGAGCCCTGACTGTGAAGCCAGACCAGCTAAGCTTCAATCATGGCTCTGTGACACTTTTTTTTTTTTTTTGAGACAGGGTCTCGCTTTGTTGCCTAGGCTGGAGTGCAGTGGTGCCATCATGGCTCACTGCAGCCTCCAACTCCTGGGCTCAAGTGATCCTCTCACCTCCGCCTCCCAAGGAGCTGGGACTGTAGGCACACGCCACCATGTCCGGCTAATTTTTGTACTTTTTGTAGAAACAAGGTTATTTATGTTGCCCAGGCTGACCTTGAACACCTGAGCTCAAGCAATCCTCCCGCCTCAGCCTCTCAAAGTGCTGGGATTATGGGTGTGACTCACTGTGCCCTGCAGCTCTGTGATACTTACCTCTAAGCCTTGGTTTCTTTTATTGTAAAAGGTGGGGAAAGTACAATTACCTCAGTGCTATACTGAGGATTAAATTAAATAATGCATGTAAGATGTCATGTGGGACAGTGCCTGCTATATAAAAGGTGCCTTTCTTTTGCTCTGTTTTTTTATTTTACTGGACCTGAGAACAGTTAAAATAGAATAACTAGGCTAGACACAGCGTTTTAAAATGTTTGGAGTCAGCAAATATTAGATTAACAACTATATACTGCAAGCCACAGGTTTTCAGATACCAATCATTTACAAAAGGCAGCCTCAAAATCCTGATTCAACACACAATACTTATCATTGTGAAATTAGCCTGCTTTCCCTATTACAGCAGACGGTGCTACCCTATTCAAGAATTTGTAAATACACAGCTGGGCGTGGTGGCTCACACCTGTAATCCCAGCACTTTGGGAGGCAGAGGTGGGCACATCACTTGAGATCAGGAGTTCAAGACCAGCCTGGCCAACATGGTGAAACCTTATCTCTACTAAAAATACAAAAAAATCAGCCGTGCACGGTGGCAGGCACCTGTAATCCCAGCTACTTGGGAAGCTGAGGCAGGACAATCGCTTGAGCCCCGGAAGCGAAGGTTGCAGTGAGCCAAGATCGTGCCACTGCACTGCAGCCTGGGCGACACAGTGAGAACCCATCTCAAAATAAATAAAATAAAATAAAAATAAACATCCAGTTCTCCAAATTATATAAGGTAGATTTTCCCTCCTTGACTACTTTCACCTCTTCCTCAAAATATATTTCCTGAATGCTCTTCCAATTTCTGGTGACCCTCCTAAATAAGTCTTCATGGAAATCACTACTGTGGGAATTAAGTCTCACAATAATGAGTAGGAACTAATATTGCCATTGTTCCTGATACCATTTCACCTTTCTTACACATAAACTTCCCAGACAAGCCCAGTTATAGGGAACTCTCTGAAAAACAAGATAAAACAAATAAACTTGATAACATCAGTTTTGTAAAATTAACTAAACAGAAAATTATGTTGAAAGAGGCATATTAAAAGTCAGGACAGCCGAAAGGGTGAGGAACCAGCAAGAGTGCCTGATGGGGAAGATCTCCCATGATGGGGAAGATCTCCCCTGTGAGATGGCCAGTCAACTCAAACACTCCCACCACTGCTCCCCCAGGTCCACTTCTCATGTGTCTGCCCTACAGCAATCAAGAAATAAGGAATGATAGGCAAAAGTGCATCCTACCAATTAAAGGCTCCTTCTGGTTATTACAACAAAAGTCCTTTTAAAAGGTTCAATCTGGTCAGGAGATCGAGACCATCCTGGCTAACATGGTGAAACCCTGTCTCAACTAAAAATACAAAAAATTAGCCGGGCATGGTGGCAGACGCCTGTAGTCCCAGCTACTCGGGAGACTGAGGCAGGAGAATGGCGTGAACCCGGGAGGCGGAGTTTGCAGTGAGCTGAGATAGTGCCACTGCAGTCTGGCCTGGGCGACAGAGCAAGACTCACAAAAAAAAAAAAAAAGGTTCAATCTGTTGCCGTTTTAGCTAATTGAGCAGCAGCAAGCAGCAGACATATGATTGTGCCTATAGCTTACAATTATCTATTACATATTTCAAAATAGCCAGAAGAGAAGAATTTGAATGGTTCTACCATACAGAAAAGACAAATATTTAAGGTGATGGAAATCCCAAGTACACAAGTTGATCTTTTCAAATTATACGATGTATTATCACATATACCCCCAAACCATGCACATTACATATCAATTAAATAAAAGAATCCCAAAACTCTGGAATACCATGGTAATTTGATAGTACTGACAGTGGGACATTTATATAGAGAAGTAAAAATAATGCACTGAGGGGAGAGTGTAGTAGCAGAGGTTCACTTACTAAACAACTTGGTGCAGGGGATCCCAAATCATTCCTCAGCCAATTTATAATTACACTGAAGTCCTCCCACTCAGAATAACCAAAACGTAATAAATAAAATCAAGTAAAGTAATTTGCACAGTGCTCAACCATGCAAACACTTAATGAAACAAAGGTAGTAAGTATATATTAGATTTTCATCGAGAAAACTTAAATCTGGGCCGGGCGCGGTGGCTCACACTTGTAATCTCAGCACTTTGGGAGCCTGAGACGGGTGGATCACCTGAGGTCAGGAGTTTGAGACAAGTCTGGCCAACATGGTAAAACTCCGTCTCTACTAAAAATACAAAAAAATCAGCCGGGCATGGTGGCACGTGCCTGTAGTCCCAGCTATTTGAGGCTGAGGCAGGAGAATTGCTTGAACCCGGCAGGCGGAGGTTGCAGTAAGCCAAGATCGTGCCACTGCACTCCAGCCTGGGTGACAGAAAGAAAAAAAAAAAAAAAAGAAAGAAAACTTAAATCTGGGTGGGGCAGAGTGAAGATTTTGGCAGCTGGAGCCCTGGAGACAAGCTTGGTTTCTAAGAGGCATCATTCAGTTTTTTTTTTTTTTTTGAGACGGAGTCTTGCTCTGCTGCCCAGGCTGGAGTGCAGTGGAGCGATCCCCGCTCACTGCAAGCTCCACCTCCGGGGTTCACACCATTCTCTCGCCTCAGCCTCCCAAGTAGCTGGGACTACAGACGCCCGCCACCATGCCTGGCTAATTTTGTTTTTTTTCTTGTATTTTTAGTAGCGATGGGGTTTCACTGTGTTAGCCAAGATGGTCTTGATCTCCTGACCTCGTGATCTGCCTGCCTCGGCCTCCCAAAGTGCTGGGATTACAGGTGTAAGCCACTGCGCCCAGCCGGCATCATTCAGTTCTTAATTCCACAGTAAAGATAAAGTAGCAGATGCCTGACCTTGGCAGAGCAAGCCAAAATGCTGGCCACACTACAGAAGAGAACGTGGGTCTATTTAAATCAAATCCATGGTGATGGCATATATTGCTCATGCTCCCAGGGCTCAACATCTTCACAGGCCTGTCTCCACAGAATCTTCTTCTCTGGCTTGCTATGACTGGCTATGACTTTGGACAGCTGAGCCTGCTTCCTCACATGCAACACAGGAATACCCTGGAATGTTCTTGGGGGACAGAATGAACTAGGCCATTGCTGCTAAAAACTCTAGTAGAGATGCTGATTTCAAGCTCGCCTATACCAAACTGAGACCCTTATCCATGGGTTTGGGGGAGAAAAAAAATCAAATATTTTACCAATTTAAGTCATTAAATAAGCATGATATTAGAACATGAAGAAAAGTGTCACAGAGTAATTTAGCTGCAGATACTGTTCAGGAGAGTTCATCTTATCTATGTCCAATGTGGACCAGCTTCTTAGGTGGAGAGTAGCCAGGTAATTTTGAAAAGGCAGATTTCCAAGCAGAAAATAACCCTGGTTCTCCTGTTTAAAAGGCCAGTTCAGTGGTTAAATGAAAGTGTAGTTCAACAGACAGTAAATTCTGTGGTAAGATGTGGGTGAAAATATACCAAAGACTGAATACAGCAATACTGGAGCCCAACTAAACAGATCTTGGGGGTGGGGTTAGGGGCCCACTAAACTGTATCCCTAGTAAGCCTCTAAGAACAGGGTGAGATTTATGTACAAAACACCATTTCTCATCTTCGGAGGAATGTCCTTTAATCTACACTGGACAGTGAAGCCTCTGAGCCACAGAAGAAATCTGCAGCAGCAGGAAGCTGGGTGATAAACTGGGACAAATGTCCTTTTTCATAAGAAAGATTGGTGCTTCCTTTTCTGTCCAGGCTGCCGAGAAGCTAAGAGTCAAATCTGATGTTTCATCACAGTAACAAAATAGTCATATAATTTAATGCAGCAGTCCCCAACCCTGGGCCATGGACCAGTACCCATCCTTGGTCTGTTAGAAATCGGGCGGCACAGCAGGAGGTGAGAAGCAGGCAAGTGAGCAAAGCTTCATCTGCATTTACAGCTGCTCCTCATGCTTGCATTACTGCCTGAGCTCCGCCTCCTGCCAGATAAACACTAGCATTATATTCTCATAGGAGCGTGGACCCTATTGTGAACTGTACATGCAAGGGATCTAGGTTGTGAGCTCCTTATGAGAATCTAATGCCTGATGATCTGTCACTGTCGCCCATCAACCCCAGAGGGGACCACCTAGTTGCAGGAAAACAAGCTCAGGGCTCCCACTGATTCTACATTATGGGAAGTTGTATAATTATTTCATTATATATTACAATGGAATAATAATAGAAACGAAGTGCACAATAAATGCAATGCACTTGAATCATCCTAAAAGCATCCACCCCACCAGATCTGTGGAAAAACTGTCTTGCACGAAACAGGTTCCTGACTCCAAAAATGTCGGGGACCACTGACTTAGCGTATTCACTTTATCTTCTCTTTGTGAGGTTCTGAGACAGGGTCTTGCTCTGTTGCCCAGGATGGAGTACAGTGGTGTGATCACGGCTCACTACAGCCTCAACCTCCCAGGGCTCAAGTATCCTTCTGCCTTAGCCTCCCGAGTAGCTGGGACCACAGGTGTGTGTGCTGCCATGCTAATTTTTGCATTTTTTGTAGAGAAGGGGTTTCGCCACATTGCCCAGGCTAATCTCAAACTCTTGGACTTAAGCAATCCTCCCACCCTGGCCTCCCAAAGTGCTGGGATTACAGACGTGAGCCACTGTGCCCAGCCTGATGATTCTGTATTAGCCTTGACACATAGACCTCTCTAAAGTAATCTAAGTTTATTTTTAGCCTTGGGGTGAGAAGAGGAGAACCTTACCTCAGCTACTCTCTTTTGGACCTCAGCTTCCTCCTCAATCAGTCAACCAACCTAAAAGTAATAATCTCAGAACTCTATACCCAACCATTGTTTTGAGGAGCAAAAAGAGGTAATCAAACTGCCTTGAAAACTCTCAGGGTGACCTGGAGTAAACATTTTATCTCATCCCTGACCCCACAGAACAAGAAAATGATACACTACCACATGCTGAACTATACTGGGTACATGTCTCCCCTGTTCCAGTTAACCCTTCTAAACAGGCAAATACAGTATATTTGATGATATAAAATCCAACAAAGGTTCAACACACTCAAAAGAAAGGGACTTGCTGGGTGCGGTGGCTCATGCCTGTAATCCTGCACTTTGTGGGGCAGAGGCAGGAGGATCACTTGAGCCCAGGAGTTCGAGACCAGCCTAGGCAACATGGTGAGACCTTGCCTCTACAAAATACAAAAAAAAATTTACAAAATCAGTCAGGCATGGTGGGTCACGCCTGTAGTCCCAGCTACTTGGGAGGCTGAGGTATGAAGATCACTTGAGCCCGGGAGGTTGAGGCTGCAGTGCACTGTGCAAGTACATCCATGGGCAATACTAAGATACGATCTACAGTGAAGTTACAGTTTCTATAGTTAAGTACACCTTACAAGGCAAGGACTTACAACCCTTATATTCTCAATGCAAAATGGAAGCGGAACTAAAACAGTATTTGCAGTAAGTGGATAAAGGAAGAGATTTGAGAGAAATAAATACCTTTGCTCCTTAGAAAATCTTCAGGGAGGTCCACATGTGAAAGTTCTTTGCTGGACTGCATCAGGAGATCCTCCTACAGTAAGAAAATCCAGTGGTCAAGGGGGATTCAGAAGATTCTGAGTTAATGAATATTATTATTATTATTATTTTTTGAGACAGAGTCTTGCTGTTCCCAGACTGAAGTGCAATGGTTAGATCGTGGCTCACTGCAACATCCACCTCCAAGGTTCAAGGTATTCTCCTGTCTCAGCCTCCCAAGTAGCTGGGATTACATGCACCCACTACTACGCCTGGCTAATTTTTGTATTTCTACTACAGACAGCGTTTCACCATGTTGGCCAGGCTGGTCTTGAACTCCTGACCTCAAGTGATCCGCCCGCCTCCGCCTCCCAAAGTGCTAGGATTACAGGCGTGAGCCACCACGCCTGGCTGAATATTAGTTATTTTTGAGAGACTTCTTTATGACTTTGGGAAATTAGCTAGCAGTCACAAGGATTGGGCACTGAAGGAAACCTCAAATTTAAGTAAGGGTAAACAATAAAAATTTCTACTTATCTAGAATTTGAGCCTGAAAACTTTTTAAAGTTGTGACAATAACAGAGGTCTAAAAAAAACTTTTTTAGAGGCAGAGGTTGCAGTGAGCCAAGACTGTGCGCGCTGTCAGCTCACTGCAACTTCTGCCTCATGGGTTCAAGCAATTCTCCTGCCTCAGCCTCCCAAGCATCTGGGATTACAGGCGCCCACCACTATGCCTAGCTAATTTTTATATTTTTAGTAGAGACAGTGTTTCCCCATGTTGGCCAGGCTGGTCTTGAACTCCTGACCTCAGGTGATCCACCTGCCTCGGCCTCCCAAAGTACTGGGACTACATGCGTGATCCACTGTGCCCGGCCTAATTTTTGTATTTTTAGTAGAGACAGGGTTTCACCATGTTGGCCAGGCTAGTCTCAAACTCCTGACCTCAAGTGATCTGCCTACCTCAGCCTTCCAAAGAGCTGGGATTAAAGGCATGAGACACCGCGCCTGGCCAAGAAAATATTTATCTGTAGTTATATTTGATCCTTTCTCCCAAATGTTACTATTCTCTGCTTTTCCAGTTCTCAGGCTGAATGTTTGAGGTGTGAGAATAGATGCTATTTAAAATATTCTTTCAAGTTAACACTTCATGGAAAAGGGAGAGTGCCTGAGTTCTGTTCCAACCCAAGGACTCTCACCTACTAACTACATGGTGCTGACAGCAACCTTACAAGTGGCTGAAAGAATACATGGAAACCATATAAAACACCCAGCAAAACACCCAGTCAGGACAGGGTGCTCCATGAGCAGAAGCTTCCATTCTTCATGAGACTGTAGACACCTGTTATCCATCCCGTTCTGTGAGAAAAGCCAACAGAGCTGTCACGGACAGATTCTGGCACGTTTCTGGAATGACTTCCATAAGCTTTTCCAAGGCTATTGGAGCCTCTGTAAAGTGACAGCACAGGCCAGTGACATACAGGCTCCTTCAGATCCCAAAGGTCTCTGGTGAGCTAATGCAATGAAATCTTAGTGGATCCAGCCCCAGAGGGGTTGGTGGGATTTTGCTTCGTCCCACTTGTGGCTCTAAGGTGCCGCTAGCTGGAGGCCCCAAAATACCCTGGTGGAGTGCCAAGCCCACTGTTTCGACCATGTTCCTTTTCCTTGATTAGCCACAATTCTTTTTTTTTTTTTTTTGGAGATGGAGTCTCACTCTGTTGCCCAGGCTGGAGTGCAGTGGTGCGATCTCGGCTCACTGCAATCTCTGCTTCCTGGGTTAAAGCGATTCTCCTGCCTCAGCCTCCTGAGTAGCTGGGACTACAGGTGCACGCCGCCACACCTGGTTAATTTTTTGTATTTTAGTAGAGACAGGGTTTCACCGTTGTTGCTCAAGCTGGTCTCGAACTCCTGAGCTCAGGCAATCCACCCACCTTGGCCTCTCAAAGTGCTAGGATTACAGGCGTGAGCCACCATGCGCGGCTGATTAGCCACAATTCTTAACAGGGAAAGAGAGACTTCCTCCCTGACTTATTGACTTCTCTTAAAAGGTTCTGAGTTAAGAAAAGCAAGTTATCCCTCACAGGAAGGCTGGAGACTCTACAAGGTTTGTGTTAATCTGAAATATAATCAGAAATTGAATGAATCAGGGCCGGGTGCAGTGGCTCACGCCTTTAATCCCAGCACTTTGGGAGGCTGAGGTGGGTGGATCACCTGAGGTCAGGAGTTCAAGACCAGCCTGGCCAACATCATGACACCCCATCTCTACTAAAAATACAAAAATTAGCTGGGTATGGTGGTGCGTGCCTGTAATCCCAGCTACTAGGGGTGCTGAGGCAGGAGGATCACTTGAACCCAGGAGGAGGCTGCAGTGAGCCAAGATCATGCCACTGCACTCCAGCCTGGGCAACAAAGCAAGTCACTGTCTCAGAAAAAAAAAAAAAAGAAAAGAAATTGAATCAATCGACAATAAAAGAGTGTGGGCTGAGGTCAAATGTGAGAGACCTCCCCCAACAGCCTTACCATGGTGGTGGGCAACCTCCAGATCCAGTGGGAGCTCTGCTAGTCTGGGCTCCTGAATATGGATGAGGGCAACAGAACAACCTACTTGGATGCAATGGACATGTAACATGATAACCTCTGTAACGTCCCCCACCTGCTCCAAAATAGCCAATCATATGATGAACTAGCAGAAATGTATCAGATGCAATTTCCTTTTTCTACAATATTTTATCAGCTAAATGTTCTAACTTTCAGGATTCCTAAAGTTAAGAGTCCTAGGGCCGGGGGCAGTGGCTCACACCTGTAATCCCAGCACTTTGGGAGGCCGAGGAGGGCGGATCACCTGAGGTCAGGAGTTTGAGACCAGTCTGACCAACATGGAGAAACCCTGTCTCTACTAAAAAATATATAATTAGCTGGGCATGGTGGCGGGTGCCTGTAATCCCAGCTACTCTGGAGGCTGAGGCAGGAGAATGGCTTGAACCCAGGAGGCGGAGGTTGCAGTGAGCGGAGATCGCGCCACTGCACTCCAGCCTGGGTGACAGAGACTTCATCTCGAAAAAAAAAAAAAAACGTATACTACGCTTTTGTATGTTACAGTTAAAAGACAATTCAGATTGTGCCACTGCACTCCAGCCTGGGCGACAGAGTAGACTCCATCTCAAAAAAAAAAAAAAAAAAAAATTCTGAACTTTTTCTGTGTCTGAGTTGAATACAACCAATGTATTGTATCCTAGAACCAAAGTGTTTACAACATATTCAACCCAGGTGGATCTACCATTATGGGGAAAAAAATATGTAAAAAGTTTAACACTCTATAGCTTATATGTAAGCACCAAAAAAACAAACAATAAAAACCAAGCATGGTATAGAGTTCTCAATGCTAAATCATCCATGTGGGATGTCACATGTCCATCTCTGATTATCTTTGGTGCACAGTTCTTAAATAAGACCAATCTATTCCACATCCTTGCTAGTAACCTTTGCATGCGTAACAGATTTTGACCTTCCTCCTACAAGAGTGGAGTTCAGAACTGAATACATTCTTTCACAATTCAGCTTGGCTCTTGCAGCTGTCCCTTCCACTGTGCCTGTTCTAAGATAGTTCACCCTCAGCAGGGTGATCTTGATCAAATCCCAAAATTATTAGTTGCAAATTTATTTATTTATTTATTTTTGAGACGAAGTCTCGCTCTGTCGCCCAGGCTGGAATGTAGTGGCACAACCTCCGCTCACTGCAAGCTCCACATCCCGGGTTCACGCCATTCTCCTGCCTCAGCCTCCGGAGTAGCTGGGACTACAGGCACCCGCCACTACGCCCGGCTAATTTTTTGTGTGTGTATTTTTAGGCGAGATGGGGTTTCACCGTATTAGCCAGGATGGTCTCGATCTCCTGACCTGATGATCTGCCCACCTTGGCCTCCCAAAGTGCTGGGATTACAGGCGTGAGCCACCACGCCCGGCCTAGTTACAAGTTTTAATAACTTTGGGACACGATCCTAAGACAGGAAATTATTATTATTTTACTGGTTTAACTTCTCATGATTGAAATATTTGTTTCATGATTGGAATATTTAACTTTTAAAAATATTAAGACCAGTAACAAAACAGCAAATACCATATGATTCCACTTGAATGATGTACCTAGAGTAGTCAAATTCATAGAGACAGAAAGTAGAATGGTTGTTGTCAAAGACGGGGTAAGGGGAGAATGGTGAGTTACTATTTAATGCGTACTGAGTTTCAGTTTGGGATGATAAGAAAAGTTCTGGAGACGGATGGTGGTGATGGTTACACAACACTACGAATGTGCTTAATGTGACTGAACTGCATATTTTTGGGCCGAGCACGGTGGTTCACGCCTGTAATCCCAGCACTATGGGAGGCCGAGGTGGGCGGATCACCTGAGGTCAACTGTGAAACCCCATCTCTACTAAAATACAAAATTAGGCAGGAATGGTGTTGCATGTCTGTAGTCCCAGCTACTTGGGAAGCTGAGGCAGAGAACTGCTTAAACCCAGGAGGCAGAGGTTACAGTGAGCTGAGATCATGTCACTGCACTGGGAGAACAGAATGAGACTCAGTCTAAAAAAAAAAAAAAAAAATCGCCGGGCGCTGTGGCTCATGCCTGTAATCCCAGCACTTTGGGAGGCCAAGGCGGGTGGATCACAAGGTCAGGAACTCAAGACCAGCCTGGCCAGCATGGTGAAACCCTGTCTCTACTAAAAATACAAAAATTAGCTGGCCATGGTGGCACGTGCCTGTAATCCCAGCTACTCAGGAGGCTGAAGCAGAAAAACTGTTTGAACCGGGACCCGGGAGGCGAAGGTTGCAGTGAGCTGAGATCGTGCCACTGCACTGCAGCCTGGGCTACAGAGCGAGACTCCGTCTCAAAAAAGAAAAAAAAAAGAATACCACAGAAGTGATGTTGGTTCTCCTCATGGTGTCCTATTGGGGGCAGTGTCCTATCAGGAGGCACTGTCCTATCACGGTGTTAGGGTGCCTCATTCCTGGGGGCAAACTTCTATCACTTGGTTTGGGTGGATTCTGCCAGGTTTCTCCATTGTGAAGTTACTATTCCACCTTTGTAACTAATAAATATCTTGTAGGGAAATACTTCGAGACTATGTAAATATTTGTTTCCCAAACATTTAGCCACTAGCTTTAACAACCATTAATGATTCCTGCTTGAGATAATTATTATTGTGATGGTTGCCAAACAGTGTTTTTTCTATTTCCATCATTCCATATATATTAATTGGAATTCTGTAAGACCTTTCTTTTCTCACTTTTAATTCAATTACAGTGAAAGGATACAAAGAAAGTCAGCAAACGGGCTCATGGGTATTTGTCTTATTCTATGGGTACTACAGGTTGCTGCAAAAGTAAGTGTCGAATAATTCATCACTATCATTTATTTTAAGCTCAAATCATCCCATACTTGGCCACTGGGAGCCCCTTCAAGTTGGCTGCTGTGTCCTTCTGATATATCCCCATAATTTTCTGAGCATTTGGCCACAAATTGCTCCGGGCACATCTTGCGTTTTTCCCTCTCCTGTCCTGGAACAGCCATTTCTCCAAGGAATCTTGGTTTCTTTTATCGGAAAAAAGTATTTAGAGCCAAGACTAGGTGTGCTCATTGCTACAAGGTGTCTGTTGCTACCTCTAGGCCCTATCGTATACACTCAAGTATTTCCATTTCTATGTGTATATATTAAGAACCCCATGTTAGGCTGGGCGCCGTGGCTCATGCCTATAATCCTAACACTTTGGGAGGCCGAGGTGGGCGGATCACGAGGTCAGGAGATTGAGACCATCCTGGCTAACACGGTGAAACCCCGTCTCTACTAAAAATACAAAAAATTAGTTAGCCAGGCCTGGTGGTATGAGCCTGTAGTCCCAGATACTTGGAAGGCTGAGGCAGGAGAATTGCTTGAACCCAGGAGGAGGAGGTTGCAGCGAGCCAAGATCGCACCACTGCACTCCAGCCTGCGTGACAGAGTGAGACTGTCTCAAAAAAAAAAAAAAAAAAAAAAAAAAAAGATAACTCCAATTCATGGAGTTCATGTTTGGGTCAGGGTTCATGTTTGCCACCCCTCCTTTGTAATTTATTTCTCTGAGAGAAAACTGGCTCTCATTATCCACATATATTTACTTATTTCCCCAATCCTAGAACACATATAGGCATTTTGTTTAGAAATGGCTAAGTCCTACCCCTGTGAGAAACAAATTTACTAATATTTTCTATTCTTTTTTGACTTTATTCTTTAAGAGGATATAGTCGAATTACTGTTTGCTAAAGTAATGTGGGCTACCCTCCCCATTGGTTTTGTTATTCATTTGTAATACAGTTAAGACTCACTTGTTATAGTTTCTATTCAGCTTTGGGCCCATCTCACATCCCAGTTGTCTAGTTAGTTATTTTTCAAGTATGAAGTTAGAACTATACCAAAAGATGTACTTACAGAAGTGCCAGTTTCTCCTACCCTTTCTATTCCATTTCCATTCCCCCATTCTTTCAGGATAGGTAATCAAATTCATTAGTTTCTGGTTTATCCTTCCCATGTGTACTTGTGTATAGGTTTTATACAAATAAGCAGATACTTCTATATATGCTTATTTCCTCTTCTTTCTTGCATGGAAAGGACAACACTATAGATATTGATTTGCATTTTTTACTTAACAGCATATCTTAGTTTACAGAAGTGAGTCAACAGAGCAGGCCTGACTGCTGTCCTTAGAAAGGTCTACCTGCAGGGTCAGCCTTAGCTAGCATCTGGGAACTAGAGTTTGGGAGTTTCCACCATTCCCTAAACAGGAGTGTCTCACTGTGCCTACACTATAACGTGGTTTATGCTAAACACCTGCTTTCCTTCTAGGAGTTGGAAATTTTGCTATGTGCCAGGCAGAGGATGTCCATGCAACCAGTCCCCAGTAAAATCCCTGAGCACTGACCCACTAACAAACTTCCATGGTAGACAATATTTCATACGTGTTGTCACAATTTGTTCCTGAAGGAGGTTAAGTGTGTATGACTCCACTAGGAAAGGACTCTTGGAAGCTTGCACTGGATTTCCTCTGGACTTTGGTCTATGCCTGCTTCCCTTTTGCTGATTTTCTTTGTATCCTTTCACTGCAATAAACTGTAGCTGTGAGAACAACTAAATGCTGAGTCCTGTGAGTTTCAGCAACTCTGAAAACCTGCTGGTTTTGGGGACCCCTGACACACCTGGAAATCACTCCATATCAGTATATAGAGATCTTCCTTGTTATTATAGCTGGATAATACTCCATGTATGTAAATACCTTATGCCATAATGTATTCAATCTCTCTCCTATATATGGGCATTTAGGTTGTTTCCAATATTTTGCAATTAAAAACTGCTGAAAAGAACAACCTTGTGTATTAAGTATTGTTATACTGCTAGAAGTGTATCTTTTTTTTTTTTTTTTGAGACAGAGTTTTGCTCTTGTCACCCAGGCTGGAGTGACAATGGTGCAATCTCGGCTCACTACAACCCTTTCTTCTGGGTTCAAACTATTCTCCTGCCTCAACCTCCCGAGTAGCTGGGATTACAGGCGACCGCCACACGCCCGGCTAATTTTTTGTATTTTTAGTAGCGATGGGGGTTTCACCAGGTTGGCCAGGCTGGTCTCGAACTCCTGACCTCAGACCTCAGGCAATCCACCCATTTCGTACTCGCAAGTGCTGGGATCACAGGTGTGAGCCACCGCGCCTGGCCACTGTTTTTTTTTTTTTTTTTTTTTTTTGAGACGGAGTCTCGCTCTGTCACTCAGGCTGGAGTGCAGTGGTGCCATCTTGGCTCACTGCAACCTCCGCCTTTGGGGTTCAAGCGATTCTCCCGCCTCAGCCTCCCAAGTAGTTTGGATTACGGCCATGCATCACTGCGCCCAGCTGATTTCTGTATTTTTAGTAGAGACAGGCTTTCACCATGTTGCCCAGGCTGGTCTCGAACTCCTGATCTCAGGTGATCCACCCGCCTCGGCCCCCCGAAGCGCTAGGATTACAGGCCTAGAAGTCTATCTTTTAAGGCAGGTTTCCTTAAAGTGTTCGGTGAACAGGTCGAGGCACCAATAGTTTTGTTAAATGTTGCCAAACTGCTCCTCAGAAAGGTTGTATCAGTTTGCATTCCCACCAGCAATGTATTAGAATGTCTGTTTCCTCATAGCCTTGCTTGAACCAGATACGTTGTCATACATTTTCATTTTCACCCATCTGATAGTCAAAAAGCGACACCCTTAAATCAAAGGGAAAAAAGTGGTATCTCTGGTTAACTTTGCATTTCTCTAATTACACGAGGCTGACCATCTCTTATGTTTAACCACCACCACCACACACACACACACACATACACCACACAAACACACACACACACAGTTCATTATCAAGTCTTCCCATTTTTTTCTTTTTCTTTTTTTGAAAGGGAGTCTCACTCTGTCGCCAGGCTGGAGTGCAGTGGCACAATCTCGGCTCACTACAACCTCTGCCTCCCAGTTTCAAGCAATTCTCCTGCCTCATCCTCCCGAATAGCTGGGACTAAAGGCATGCACCACCATACCCAGCTGATTTCTGCATTTTTAGTAAAGATGGGGTTTCACCATGTTGGCCAGGATGGTCTCAATCTCTTGACCTCATCATCCTCCCGCCTCAGCCTCCCAAAGTGCTGAGATTACAGGTGTGAGCCACCACACCTAGCCCAAGTCTTATCATTTTTCTATTGGGTTTGGTTCTTCATTCCTCAATTCAAGAGTTCTTCATGTATTACAGATATAGACCCTTTATCTCTGATATACATTGCAAATATGTTCTCTCAATTTGTCAGCTGTCTTTTGACTGTGGGATATTTTGTCAATATAGCAAGAGCTCTTATAAATTGAGATCAGGGGATGCCTGGGGTTTGCAAATCTGAAATGGTATGCAAGTGGTATGTCTGCTTTTCTGAAAGGTCTGCAGTGTTCAGATTTCCAAAGGGTCCTGTGACCTGAGAGTGATTAGGAGCTGTTGCTGCTGCCCCACATCTTCCACTGGCCTAACTGTGCCCCACAGGACCACTTCTGCTGAATGACCTCTAAATTGCTGAAGGCTTCTCTCACGTCTCTTGACTGTTCTCTTTCACAAGTTACACACCCAATGACCTGGCCTCCAGATGCATATTTTCAGGTTGTGTCATTAGTGTGAATACTTATCCATGAATGCATTCCTGGTTTTCTATACCTCTCACACACATGACAACAACAGGAAAGTATAATACTCTAGCTGTGGCCTAACCAGCACACAACAGAGCATGACCACCACTTCTCAGTCCAGATAACACATTTCCCTTAATGATATTAAGAGCAAATTGGCTTTTCCTGGAACAAAGTCAATTCTAATTGACCTGCTAAAACCTGCAGGTCTTCCGTTTCCCCTTTCCCCGTAAGTATTTCTGTTTCTTTTCAATTGTGGAGATCACTTTTTGAAACTGAGTACAAAATGTTAACATTTATATCAATTAAATTTCATTCTGCTTTATACAATTCAAAATGGAATATACACTGGTGGAGCTGGGAGGGAGAAAAGGAATGATTTTAAAAAAGAACAGGGTGGCGGGGCGCGGTGGCTTGCGCCTGTAATCCCAGCACTTTGGGAGGCCGAGGTGGGCGGATCACGAAGTCAGGAGATCGAGACCATCCTGGCTAACACGGTGAAACCCCGTCTCTACTAAAAAAATACAAAAATTTAGCCAGGCGTCATGGCGGGCGCCTGTAGTCCCAGCTACTAGGGAGGCTGAGGCAGGAGAATGGCATGAACCTGGGAGGTGGAGCTTGCAGTGAACTGAGATCGTGCCATTGCACTCCAGCCTGGGTGACAGAGCAAGAATCTGTCTCAAAAAAAAAAAAAAGAACACTGAGATAGTAATCTAGTTCTTAGGTTGATTGTTATGTAAGCATGTGTATGTATATGTATGCATATATAAACACATATATACATGTGTGTGTTCATTATACTTTATGTGTATTACGCATGCTTTTATATCAAACATTACATTAAAAAACTTTTCTCTCCTGAAGTGGCAGGTCCCTAAATTGGAAAAAAAAAAAAAAAGAAACTTTTCTTGTTAGACTCAGCCCACCACATCAAGAAGTAACACAATAGGAACTCTGGGATCCTTAGCCTTTTACCTATTTAACTGTATTTTTAAAAGATAGGGCATTGGCCGGGCGCAGTGGCTCACCCTGTAATCCCAGCACTTTGGGAAGCTGAGGTGGGCGGATCACCTGAGGTCGGGAGTTCGAGACCAGCCTGACCAACATGGTGAAACCCTGTCTCTATTTAAAAAATACCAAAAAATTAGCCGG
The DNA here is from genome assembly GCF_000001405.40 of Homo sapiens. NCBI lineage: Eukaryota > Metazoa > Chordata > Mammalia > Primates > Hominidae > Homo > Homo sapiens. Next base: position 31,735,912 of record NC_000022.11, read on the forward strand.
GCATGGTGGCAGGCACCTGTAGTCCCAGCTACTCAGGAGGCTGAGGCAGGAGAATGGCGTGAACCCGGAAGGCGGAGCTTGCAGTGAGCTGAGATTGTGCCACTGCACTCCAGCCTGGGCAACAGAGCAAGACTCCATCTCAAAAAAAAAAAAAAAAATTAGCCAAGTGTGGTGGTGCATGCCTGTAGTCCCAGCTACTCAGGAGGCTGAGGCAGGAGAATGGCGTGAACCTGGGAGGCGGAGCTTGCAGTGAGCTGAGATTGCGCCACTGCACTCCAGCCTGGGCAATAGAACGAGACTCCATCTCAAAAAAAAAAAAAAAAAATTAGCCGGGTGTGGAGGCACATGCCTGTAATCCCAGCTACTCGGGAGGCTGAAGCAGGAGAATTGCTTGAACCCAGGAGGTGGAGGTTGCAGTGAGCTGAGATCGCACCATTGCACTCCAGCCTGGGCAATAAGAGCGAAACTCTGTCTCAAAAAAAAAAAAAAAAAGGCATCACAGTGTAAACTCAAATATCATGTTCAAATGTTACTTAATGCTTCATTCATTCCTAATCATAGTCACTGTATGAAGCCCACTAACAACAATTAACTGCCCTTTATCCTGTGTAAAGAAAAGATATATGTATCAAGAGCGGGATGGGAGCCTAGCCTAGGCAGCCCAAAGAACATATGAACCTGATGGTGGGTCTAGAGCAGGGGTTGGCAAACCACAGCCCTCAGGCCAGCAGCCTGTGCTAATAAAGTTTTATTGGAATACAGCCACATTCATTCATTTATGTATTGCCTCTGCCCACTTTATGCTACAATGGCAAAGCTGAGTTGTTCCAAAAGAGACCATATGAGGCCAGGCATGGTGGCTCCTGCCTGTAATCCCAACACGTTGGGAGGCTGAGGCAGGTGGGTCACAAGGTCAGGAGTTTGAACCCAGCCTGGTCAACACAGTGAAACCCCGTCTCTACTAAAAATACAATAAATTAGCCGGGCGTGGTGGCCAGCGCCTGTAATCCCAGCTATTCAGGAGGCTGAGGCAGGCGAATTGCTCGATCCCAGGAGGCGAAGGTTGCAGTGAGGCAAGATCACACCACTGCACTCCAGCCTGGGAGACAGTGAGAGACTCAAAAAAAAAAAAAAAAAAAAAAAAAAGGAGACCATATGACCTGCAAAGCCTAAAAGATTTACTACGTGGCCCCTGATAGAAAAAATTTGCTGACCCCTGGGTTAGAAAACCACCCTGTGGAGAGAGTCCGCTGGACAGGTACATTCCTTTAAGAATTTGGAGGGCCCAGCAGGGTACGGTGGCTCACGCCTATAATCCCAACATTTTGGGAGGCCAAGACGGTCGGATCACCTGAGGTCAGGGGTTCTAGACCAGCCTGGTCAACATGGTGAAGCCCTATCTCTACTAAAACTACAAAAATTAGCCGGGCGTAATGGTAGGTGCCTATAATCCTAGCTACTCAGGAAGCTGAGGCAGGAGAATCGCTTGAACCTGGGAGGCAGAGGTTGCAGTGAGCCGAGATCAAACCACTGCACTTCAGCCTGGGTGACAGAGCAAGACTCTGTCTCAAAAAAAAGAAAAAAGAATTTGGAGGGCCCAGCTCAGTGGCTCACACCTGTAATCCCAACACTTTCAGAAGCCGAGGTGGGAAGATTGCTTGAGCCCAGGAATTTGAGAGCAGCCTAGGTAATATACTAAGACCCTGCCTCTATTAAAAAAAAAAAAAGAAGAAAAAAGAATTTGAGACCATCACACTATCATAGCTCACTATTAGTCTCAACTAACCAACCTCTCTGGGTATAATTTCAAGCACACATCGGCTGGTCATGGTGGCTCATGCCTGTAATCCCACCACTTTAGGAGGCTGAGGTGGGTGGATTACTTGAAGTCAGGAGTTCGAGACCAGCCTGGCCAACATGACGAAACCCCGTCTCTACTAAAAACACAAAAAAATTAGTTGGGTATGGTGGCTTATACCATAATCACAGCTAATTTGGGAGGCTAAGGCAAGAGAATCACTTGAACCCAGAAGGCAGAGGTTGCAGTGAGCCAAGGTCGTGCCACTGCACTCCAGCCTGGGTGACAGAATGAGACCTTCTTAAAAAAAAAAAAAGCCTCCCTTCAAAGGTTTCTCTGTGATACCTCACTCCAACCTACCAAAACATAAGGACTGAGTATATCTATATCATTTCTTAACATCAAATGCTGAAATACCATGATTTTCACAGACTCAACATTTCATATACAGTCGCTGCTTCAGAGAACTGACACTTTTTTACTAAGCACTTCCTCTCTTCAAGTGTCTGATGTGACATAAATGTTTTAAAAGATCATCAAAACAAAGTTAACTTCAAAATCGACATTTCGGAAATGTTTCAAGAATAAATCATGAGCCAACCGTCAGCATCTGTATTTTATCCAGAGAAAGCTGTCATTCACACTCAACTCTTCGGAATGGAGATTTCATTTCTTACCTGACTCGGGCTAGTCTTTTCTTCAGCAGCTGTGGAATGTTGATGTGGATCTTCCTTTGCTCCCTCAGAGGGTTCTCTTATAATTCCTGCCTGGCCCCCTGGATCTCTGAAGACCTTTGGCTCCATGCTCTCGCTTCTCTTTGCCCTATCCAAGATCCCAGATGCCACAGAACCTCCTGCTGTGGAGTCCACTAGCCCACATCGCCCAGGCTCACTCCCATGATCCAAGGTCTCATAGGTTTCTTCACAACAACTCTCCACATGAGTCCTCTGCAGCTCCAAGGGCAATGCCCTATTCTGACTTAAAAGAGAGCTTGAGGCTCCAGGTTTTACATCTGGAATCACACTTGGCTCAGGGTCAGCATGAAGCTCTCTGGAGACACTTACTGGGAGTTCAGAGTATAATTCCTGTACCACGGCAGACATGGAGGAATCAAGTGGAACTGGCTGAGTCTCTACTCCAGATGACAGCATTAGGACAGATGCAGATTATGGAGTCAAGTCTTTTACATCAAATGATTCACCCTGACACAAATCACAGGAAGGGATAAAAGTTTAAAACCTTGATAGGTTAGAAGAAGGCTGCCTCAGTTCAAACCGGCTACAACGAAGAAAATAAGTTCTACTTTAAATGCCAGCATTATCTGGCACCAAAAATTTCTCCTTAATGAATTTGTAGAAAAATAAATACCTTAACCTTTAATAACGTTTGAGATTAGACAGCTCTCAATCAAATCTCAATTCAAATACTGCCTTATGAACAATTCTCAATTTAAACGTGAAGGGCCTGCCAATGTAGAAGAGAATAAGACATGCCTAAAGCATCCAAGGATAGACCTGATGTAAATGAGAAAATAAAGATGGTTTTCTGTTTGTTTTCATGGGCATGAACCTTACCTTTTTTGTTCACTGCCATATCCCCATGCTATCCCATAGTACGTACTCGGCAAATATTTGTTGAATGAATATATACTGAGGAACTCTGGAAAATTTCATATACTGACTTTTCCTCTTTGAGGGAGGATAGGGATAAAGTGGGATTCCATTCCTTTACTGCTTACTAAATACTTCAGCTCTCTCTACCCAGGCTAGCACAAGACACTACTAAACCAGCTCGTTAGCAGAATCCTTCCTGATTTTTATCCTGCATCTTTAGATTTTCCAAGTGTTTTCCACAGTCATCACTCATTTGATTCTCTTAACAACCCTTTGAGCTAAGTAGGGCAGCTATCAGCTTCTTGTTTTAGATCCTAACACCACACCTGAGGAGGTTAAATATGACCTGCCTAAAATATTACATGGTTGTCTGAGAGGATGAAAGTGGAGGTATATTAAGAGAGAAAGAGCTTCCACTGTGTTCGTAATGTTTCATTTCTTGCAGTGAATGGAAGTAACAGGTTATTTGCTGAAACACTTATATCTATGCAGTTTGTAATACTGCACTATACAAGTAGCCAAAACACACACATACTCAGGGCCAG